>NC_000006.12:95222305-95373820 GCF_000001405.40 Homo sapiens
CCAGGCTCTCTAATGCTTAAATTTAAAATGCTCATTGATTCTCATGAATTTCCTCAGCAGTCTTCCTCATCAATCTTTTGGTATCTGATGTAGATTAAGATTTTGCCACTTGGAAATGCTTTTAGCATCTTACAAAGACCGCCATATCTTTATACACTGTTTTGCCTAGTGTATTTTTCGCACTGCCACATGTATTTTCATTTCCTTTCTTTCTTTTCCTTCCTTTCTCTCTCTTTCTTTCTTTCTCTTTTTCTTTCTCTCTTTTTCTTTTTCTTTCTTTCTTTTTCTTTTTCTTTCTTTCTCTTTCTCTCTCTTTCTTTCTTTCTTTTCTTTCTTTCTTTCTTTCTTTCTTTCTTTCTTTCTTTCTTTCTTTCTTTCTTTTCTTTCTTTCTTTTTTGACTGTGTCTGGCTCTGTCACCTAGGCTGGAGTGCAGTGGTGCAATTTTGGCTCACTGCAACCTCTGACTCCTGAGCTCAAGTGATCCTCCCATATCAGCCTCCTAAGTAGCTTGGACCACCATGCCTGACTAATTTTTGTATTTTTTGTAGAGACAAGGTTTCACCATATTTCCCATGCTGGTCTCCATCTCCTGAGCTCGAGCAACCTGCCCGCTTTGGCCTTTCAAATTGCTGGGGTTACAGGAGCAAGCCATTGAACCCAGACTGTATTTTCCTGAAGACGAAAGTGACCATGTCACCATCCTGCAGAACATTTTCAGTAGTTTCCCTTCTCAAAGTCCAAACTCTTGAGAATGGCATGAGATCCTCCACAGTCAGAGCATGAGCTTATTTACCAGCTGCATCTCTTTTCAACAGCATATACTCCAAGATACTGAACAATTTCTTCTGCCATAAAACAGTGGTCTTCAAATATTTACATGAATAACAATCACCAAGGTAGTTTGACAGAAGTGTAGTTTCTTTGGCCTCATCCAGAGATACTGTTGTAGATGTAGTTTTCACTAGGTATCTGTAGTTTCCATACATCACTAAGGTGATATAGTGCAGGTGGTCTATGGATGGTAATTTGAAAGTTTTGCTTAATATATTTTGCCATGAAATTTTTGTCCTAATTCTCTGCCTGGAAATTATTTACTTTCCTTTTTGTCCCAGATGAATGCCTACTCATTCTTCCAGAACCATCTGTGTGATACCCACTTCTAAGTTATTTCACCTTAATTACTTGTCCCCTTTTTCTTTTATATAATTTGGTTATATTTTTATTTTAATAATTTCATTATTTTCACCATTATTTTGCATATATGACTCACCAACTGTATTGATAATCCTTGATGGCATCTTCTTTTCAGTTATATTCAAACATAAGTGTTTAATATCTATCTGTTGTATTTAACTGAATATATTCTATTTTTCTGTGGATTTTATTTCTAAAGGAAAGCACTATGCACCAAAGAAAATAAAATGCAAAAACACCAACTGAATGTTCTTTGTTATGTTTAAATAAGACACTTTATCAGATTTGCAGATGATGCTTAATGTATTCAACAGATGACAGAGCAAGATTCAAATATATCTCAGCTGGCTGAAGTACTGAAATAAAATTTGTATGGATAAACACATAGTACCATATTTATGTTTTAAAATATAAGTTGCACAAAATCTAGATGTGGGAGACATATTGAGTAACAGTTCATGTGAAAAATAACTGGAGGTTTTATCTGATGACTAAATATGACCCAAAGTACTATTTGACTAGTAATGAAGCTAAAGCAATTTTAATTTGCACTCATAAAAGTTTGGTGTCCCTATCACAGGACATAATGGTCCCTCTGTGAGCTACGATGATGAGTTCAAATAGTAGATGTTATGCTGAGTCTGTGCCACCATACAGGGATATTTACAAACTAAAACTGTGTCTAGAGCATTAGTAGAAGAATATGAAAATAGGTTGGGAATGGTTACTTGAAAAATTGTTGAAGGGACTGCTTAGAAAGAAGATAAAATGAAGAATGGCATCTGTCCTCAAATGTGTAAAATAGATTCATGGAGAAGACAGATGCACACTGGAGTTGCCTCAGGAATAAGCGCTGGAATTATCCTAGGGAGGAAAAATTTAGCTCAGGATTAATAATTTTTGGTTGAATTTGTTCATTGGAATAAAGTATCTCCTAGAGTAATACATTTCCCATCCTTGTAGATTTTTAAAATTTTATTTATTTATTTATTTATTTAATTTTTAGATGGAGTCTGGAGTCTCACTCTGTCACCCAGGCTGGAGAGCAGTGGCGCAATCTCAGCTCACTGCAACCTCTGCCTCCCAGGTTCAGGGAATTGTCATGCCTCAGCTTTCTGACACACTGCACCTGGCTAATATTTGTATTTTTAGTAGAGACAGAATTTCACCATTTTGACCAGGCTGGTCCTGAACTCGAGACCTCAAGTGATCCGCCCACCTCAGCCTCTCAAAGTGCTGAGATTACTGCCGTGAGCCACCATGCCTGGCCCCATCCTTGTAGATTTTATGCACACCTGTCACCAAAGGTAATGTGTCTGCACCACAGAGAATCTAGTATCAAATGATCTTTAAAGTGCCTTTTACTCTAAGTTTATTCCTTGTTTGTTCGTTTAAGGTCAGGTTTATTGAGGTATGACTTACATACAATAAAACTCACCTTTTTTTACGTGGACAGTTTTAAGAGGTTTGATAAGTGTATATTTACATGTATATATTATGTTACCCCATTACAGTGAAGATATAGAATATTTCTATTCCCTCCAAATTTTCTTATGCCCCCGTTTAGTAAATTGCTTACACCTCTTCTACCAGCTGACAACTCATTTGATTTTCATGCCTACAACTTTGCCTTTTCCATAATGTAACATAAAGAGAATCATATATAGTGTTGCTTTCTTTAAAAAAATCAGTGGATGAATGAACAAAGAAAATTTAGCATATAGGTATGCAACTGAGTACTATTCAGTTATAAAAAAGAATGCAACCCAGCTCTTTGTAGTACCATGAATGGACACTGAGGGTCAATGCGTTATGTGAAATAAGCTCTTTCTTTGAGATAAAGACAAATATCACATGTTCTCACTTATATATGGAAACTAAAAACTTGATCTCATGGACATAGTAGAGTCCTGCCAAGCTTTTTTTTTTTTTTTTTTTGCGTATTTTTCAAAAATTTTTAAAGTTCTTACTAAAATTTAATCATTAATTTTAAATAAGTCATCCCATAATAAACTGTCTGTAAAAATGCTCTCCAGCTAAATGAACTCATACAGACAGTGTTAATCATATTCTGGTCTAATGCAAATTCACAAACACACAGACACACACACACACACCCCATTTCATACTCTCTTACAGGGAGAAGTACCACTGCTGTTGTCATCTTCATATGTGGGATTCTTTCTCACAGTTATTTCTTAGATTTCCTCTCTCCTGGTCTGACACCCAGTGATAAGAGGAGAGTACACAGTAGTGCCAGAGGAGGAGACTTCTTCTCTCCCATGGATCTCATGATGCTAGTGAGCTTAGTCCTTGCATAAAATGGGTCTATTTTCTTTGTAGCCATCATCCTTTCATCTTCTTGAAACATTTTTTTTTGTTTTATTTTCCACCCTTAACTGAAACTTTCCCTAATAAAAAATATTTGAGCAAAACTCTGAAGTTTCTTGGATCATTAATTACATTCATTATATTAGGCGACTGAGAATTGCTATAACAGGTTGGAAGACACATAATTTGGGAAACAGGGTTTTTGTGGGAGATCTGCTGTGGGATGTGTGGCACTTTAGAACAGCAGGAAGGTACACAGGATGGCATGGGGATAAGGTCAAAGAACAAAGAACAAGAATCATTAAAGATCTTTCTATTTTATGGAGTACTTTGCAAATATTGCATCATTGAATCCTTATAATGATGCATAAAATTGAGCATGATTAAGCCTTTTCTGCAGATGAAGAAAGAGCACTGAAGTAACATGGTTAAAGAGACATTGCTGCCAATCCAGGACATAGTAGATGTGAAATCAGAACTTTCCATTCTAAATCATTCATTCAGTTCATTCATTCCCCAGATATATGCTTATGTCATTTCCATAATCATTTTATAAGCTTTGCTTGAAGGAAAAGGAAACAAGGGCTCTGAGACATAAATGAAATTTCTTAGGAAAAAATAATAAAGACATTTTAGTGGTGGAATTTTAGTTCATGTTTAGTCATTACTGTTTCTGCTCTATCTTCACAATTCAGTAAGTAGGGAGTGGTACTCTATATTTTGTCTGTTATATTTACCTTTTTACCATTTTCCAAATTCGAAGATAATTCCTAGAATAAGAGGGTCATGTAGTACTATTTTGAAAAATTAGAGTCATTCCCTTCCACTTTTTTCTTCTGCCATTCTATATTGTCTGCTTAGCCATGCTTTGCTCCTTCCTTTGCTACTCTTGGGTTACTCTTTATTTCCCAGCAGTTTTCTCATTGTGATATAAAAAGCTTGCTAATATATGAACATATCATGTATCAAGACTAGTGGAAGTGTAATCTAGTTGTTAAAGATTTGGTGTCAGCCAGTGTGCAGTTTGATTCCAGTTCTGATCTCTCTGCTCTTAGTAAGTCATGAAAGCCTAAGTCTCCAAATTCTACGTATTCTAATTTGGAAACTAAATATATTAATAACTCCTTTATAGCATATAGTATCATTATCAGGAGTGCAAGAAATTATGCCTGTAAAAGTATTTAGTACAGTACCAACCAGTGGCGATGCTCAATAAATATTAAATGCAGTAAAATGTCCTAGGTGATTCTGTTAATTTGCTGTGTTGGTCAGGTCAAATTATGCCTATCTGGAAAAAAAAAGACATCAAATAAGTATTTTGAAAGTATTTTCTATTTGTTTTAGAAAAATAAGTTCAAGAAATTGTGGTGACAAAAGTCTCACAATGACATAAAGTCAAATCTGGGGATTAAATTCAGAACCCTAAGCCTTTGTTTTGCTTCTAAAATGCAGACATCCAAGAGAAACAGGAGAGACAGCAATGCAGCCCAGTAACCTAATAATGCACTACTGAACCCTTCTAGCGCTGCTAATACATTTTCAGTTTCAGATGGCTTTAAAGTAAATTTCTCAAATGCACTTCAGTCTGGTTAGACACACAGCATGACAATTGCTATGTAGAAAAATCAGAGTTTATGGTTCATCAGATCTCTATTTTAGCTATGTGCAGAATGGCTGCTGTACTCACTCATGGCTCCGTTTAAAGACTTGGCTGTTAGACGTTTATACATCCGTTAATTAGCAGCTAGGCATGATTTAAAAGATAATGTTCCTGGCGTTCAGCATATATGAAGCAGTAAACAGCTTTTGTGGAAGATTAAATGCTTTAGCAAATCAGAGACATTTGGTGACCCCCAGAAGCCATTTGTTGCCAGAAAACTGCAATGCTACAATTATTGTGCCAGGGAGAAAACATACTCAACCAATAGCACAACAAATAGAAGAATGCATTTGAATTTGCCTCTTGTATGCTTGGAAATATGACTCCTTTCTTGTTTATTTTTTATTTTATTGATTGAATTTCATTTGAAGAGAAGTTTATAGCCAAATACAATGTACTTTAACATACCTTAGATTAAAAGGATTTAACAGTTCTAGGGATCAAGGTAGGTTTACAATTAAGAAGTTAAAAATATGTGGCTAATATGAAAAATTATAAATTTTTTAAAATTTCTCTTATAAAATTAAATATAAATCTGTATGATACTTACCTATTGCTATCAATGGACTGTTAAAAAAATTTTGGATTTTGTACAATGCCAACCATATATTCATAAATACAGTATGTTTAAAAAATCAAAACATATTTGGCTTGTTATATGGAAAATAATAAGAGAAATTAATCCAAATTATTGCTTGGAAAAATCTGACTACTAACAAACATATTTTTATGTTAACACATATAAAATTTGAAAATTTTAGATTTATATAAAACTTCATATTTATATATCAAATTTACAAATCAATATCTTCCTAATAAAAATTGTATACATATTTATAATTTTATGTATACATATAATTTCTAAATTAATTTCTTAATTTATACTATATATAATATGTATTCCAATATAAAGACCCAGAAGTGTAAACATATTTAAATAAAAACAATATTTTCAAATGCATTTTTCCCTAGATCATTTGATTCTGAAGTTCTTCTATTATTCATTTTCAATTTATTTATCCATGTAAATATATTCTGAATGAAAAATAATTAAAACAATAAAACAACAAGGAGAAATAAATATTTGGCAGGAATAAAAAGATATTTGATAATGTGTAATAGTCAATGCATGGAGAAAAGTTCTTTTAATACATATACATGTCTATGTTCTAGGCTTACTGGAAAAAAATTACATGGTCTAGTAAGCTGGTTTAGCTCTCAATAAGAAAAGAATTTCCACTGTTCTTTTTCCATAATTGGATTTGGTATGCATTGTAAAAGAAACAGCGCCTTTCACTGAGCAGTGTTAGTAACCCATTTTTTAATAATACAAAAGGCTTCTCACACCACGTGTTGATCACCATAAATGCTTGTCTAACCCACTTCTCTCTCCTTTCTCCCAGAGACAGTTTTCTGCAGGCCAGTGTGGTTGTAGATGGGGTAGTTAGCGGTAGTAAAACCCTTTAACAGGAATCTGAGATCCTCATTTTCAGTGTTTCTTTTTGATTTTTCTAAGGCACTACTTTTAAATTACCATCAGAAGTTTGAAGTTTCGAAATTCCTTTAATGATAAAGGTACATTTTGTTTGGGGAAGTGGAATTCTGCATTCCGTGAAATCTATATCTTTTTTGAATGGCTGTTGGGGAAGAGACATTGCAGTAGTTTGAAGCACTGCTTTAATACCTACAGAAAGGCTGCGGATGCACAGAGGCATCTGCCTTCACTGTGACTAAAATGTTTACTTTAGCAAACACTGCTCTATTAAATTTCAAAGTGGTGCTCTTTGAATTTTAAATTGTAAAGGAAACCTGGCCTCCATTCTTGAAAGCTTTGGTTTAAACATAAAAAGGAGAAACTAGCTTTGAAGTTTGAATGAGATGCATGAACTCTCCTTTTTTCACTCAGTTTGAAGAACTTACAGTGCGGGCATGTGTGCTATTTATTATTCTAACCTATGACTTGAGTGATATTCTTATTTCTTTCACCCATGACCATTTCTACTCTAAAAGAAATAGGATTTGGGGGTTAATGTAAGGTTCATTTATTATTCTCCAATCGGGAAATATATCTAACAAAATAATTTTAAACATTTTTCTAAACAAACTACTTTACTGCTCTTTAATGGGCATCTAATTTTTCAAATTATACCTAAACTCCAAGATTTTTATTAGTGCTTTTTGTACATTTCTCCAGAGTTTACTATGTAAATAAAAGTGAAAATACAGAAAATTTGTATTTTTGGCATAGATGCTCACCTTAATGAGTATTTATTTGGGCAGATGAGTGTTTGCATAGTAGAACAATCCATGGACCAGAGATAATTGAGCATTACAATAAGTTATGTCACCTATTTGCAAATGGGAGCTATTAACTCTCCACTTTACTTACTTCAATGAACTTTTTAAACCAAATAATTACAGATGCACATTCAGAAAATAAGCCTTTTCAGGGTCAGTTCATTTTATTTGCTACAATGAATAATAATCTTGATAGTATTGTTTCTATTTTAAAATGAAACAAACTTTTTATCATAAAATTTGTCAAGGCATTACTCTTAGCAAGTAAATACTTTAAATAAAATAATTAAAGAGTCATAGTATATGGAGTAAAACTTATTAAATTAACTTTAAATTTTCTTCCTGGAAATTCCACATAACATTTAAAGAAAAAAAGGGAGAAAATTTATAGCATCATTCTCATATATTACAACATGTTTGTCTTGATTTAACGACTGTTCCCACCAATAAAACCTTTTCTAAACAGAATACGTTCTTTCCTTATTAAAATAAACAGAGATGACTAATTTGTCTCTGAATATGGTAAGAAAAAAAGAGAGCCATTAGCAGTCTCTTCTCTTTTCCCAATACCTGTCTTATATTCCTTCCTTAATTCTCTCTTGCATATTTAAGTTAAGAAATGAAAGATATTTACAGAAACATTCAATATACTTATGAATCAATGAAGCATGGAAAATTCCTTATTAATACAGTCAACTAGCATGGACATGTGCCAATGGGAACTGAGTCTATCTGATAAACTACACAGCCATCCACCCTAGCTAATACATCTCCAATCTCAGGGGAACAAGTGAGCCATAACAAGAAGCTCCAGAGACTGAGCAGCTCTCTTACTCAGCAATTCACAAACTGCTGTTTTGGAGAAGAAGATCTACTAGGAGTGACTTCAGTTATATAAAGTCTAATAAATGCTGCATATCATTTTCTTCTTTTAGAAATTTCATATGCACAATATAGTGTTAGGTCCTGCAGTAAAGAAATCACAGAACTGTCAAAAACCCATACCCTTTGCCGTATGTTTTGTGATTCTTTGACCTGGTGCCTGGCACTAAGAGTAATAATATCAAGAAGTAACACAATTATAACTTTTATATCCTAATAGCCTCGGCATAAGAATATCTTTGCAATTTCATTTTAACATAAATAATATCTTTCTGAGATTAGAGCTATGCAATAATGGGGTAGAATGTCTTATGTGGTAATAAGCTCTCTGTCGTTTGGTGCATTTGGTGACACTCAAGCAAAGACTGGTATTGGTGTAGCAGTCTGTGTGTTAAAAAAATCTCTGCACTGTATTTTGGATACTATTAAACGTCTAAAGCAGTTCAAAATTCTAAAGTATATGATTTTTTCAATGACTTGTGTAAAGTTTGCTTTTCATGCTCATCACTTTGCCTATTAATAAATAATCTAAAAAGGGAGCCATATGAAACATTTTAAATCATAATTATATATGAACCAAGTCACTATGTATTATTAATATATATTTAAGTACACATATATGATTTTTGTCCAATGCTAGTGATTGGAAACTAATTCAAATCATTTAACTTAAATTATGCATATATAAACAACAGATTAAACATCTTTTGAAATGACAGACATGCATCTGTATCAAGACATTAAGAAAAAGATCCTGAGTTAATGCTGATTAGTTACAAAACACAAACAAATTTTTAAATGCTTTTGTTCTCCCATGCTTTGTTAATAGCATGTCAACTGTAATGTTTAAAATAGTAAACACTTGTTTAATATAATTGGTAATCTTTATGTCCATCTCTGTGAGATATTTAGGAGAGGCTTCAGATATGAATCACATGTGGGCCTTCTCTAAGGATTCTCAACACATGAATCAAGTTAGCTAAAATGCATCTGCTTATGACTAAATCCCTCTTAATGTTATAAATACTCTTTTTCTGAATATTTAGGAATTATTATAATAATGTTATATGAATAATGAGGTGAATTAAAAACCTCTGAACTTCAGAGAGAGAGAGAGAGAGAGACATACACATCAAAAAAATGAGCCTAGAGGATTCCAATCCCTCTGGTTTAAATAAATACATGAATACTATTGAATGTGTAGATCTTTGTGACATCAAATGAATAGTAAAGAATAACGTCCTTGATCTATGAAATATCATAAAGTTTCTATAAAAAGAAAAGATGTTTTCTAACCACACCACAGTATTTTTAAATCTCCAGATTTCATTGAAAATATCCTAAACAAATGTAGTAACCACTCAGAGCCATGAGAATAAAGGAATCTATTTGAAAGAATAGAAAACCTTCTGAATTAGCAATGTGGAATATCTATGGTGCTTAACTGTAAATTATTTTACAATTTTTGGAATATGTTTGACTTTGCTTAAAACTTGGATGATTTTTCTGATTTACTTGATTTAAATGAGACAAGATTACTACGTAATGTTGTAACTCAATCATCATGCAGTCATCTAGGGGGAAAGTGAACCATTCAGAAACATTTTCACATATATAATTTGTATAAACCATAAGGTTACAATTAAGAAATCTTAGGAATATATATGACTGTGACAACAGCAGTGGTATCAGCCCCTTTTTCTTCTTGCTATAGACAGCAATATCCTCAAGGATAGAAGATTGCCTGCTTTTATTTTATGAGTCAAGAAATTTAGTATTTCTACTCTCAAGGTACTACATTTTTAAAAATGACTCACAATGCATAAGTGTAACAACATGTTACTTTACTCCAAACTTTCATCATCAAAAGTACCTAAATTCGGAGGATTCTACACTAGTTCTTTCACGCAACTCTGCCCTAAGAGCTCTCAGCACCTTATGTAGTCATTTTCTACTCATTTCAAATTTTTTATAAAATGAACACATCACAGGAATATTTCTATTCTCAGTAGTTTACAGGATCCAAATAAAGTTGCTCAACTTCCGCATGACTCCCCACCTCACATCATCCACCACGCAAGTTAAATGTAAATTTTCCATCTGGCCTTTTAAATAAGGACTCTTTCATTGGTTCTTATTATAACTATTTTACTTATAGTCCCACAAACTTTCTTCAGTTTAGATACTTGATTTATTTGCCTACCTTGTTAGAGAAATTATGTAAGCATTGATTATTAAACTTCTGAGAGTTCCGTAATGATTTGCTATGTTTGTTTTATCCATAGTTTCACATTAATTTCCTTACTTACAGATCATCAAAATGATAATGATATACTTTATTAAATAAACAAATACATATAAAGCACTACCGCGTGAAAAATACTTTCTTATGGAAAACAAAAAGATAAATAAATCCTGGTTCCTGACTTTGCAGTCTGGAGGAAACAGGAACGTGAATAATGAAGACATTCATTATGGAAAGAAGACAAAAATCTCCATGATGAAAGAGTCCAAGGGGAAAAGGAGAGATTATTTCCAACTGCGGAATTCTAGAGGAAAGTTAATGTTTCCAAAGGTGACAAAAATATTCTAAGGAGAGGGAATCTCCATTATTGGCATGGAGAATCAGTTTCACTGGGATTTCTGGCATAGTAAAGTATCTGCTGCAGTGTCTTCAATCCAAAATCAAAACAACACAGATTTCAAAGAGCACTGCACTTCATTTATTTTGGAAAACCATTTTTCTCTGAGTTTTCAATTTCTTTCTCTGTAAAGGACATCTTTTCTAATCTATATTCATGAGAACTTCTATAAGTTTGAGTAACAAATGGAATAATGTACAAAAAAAACCTTGAAAATTACCATTCAAAATAGCAGGCTTTTTTGTCAAACTCTTCATGTATATTTAAGATAGTGATATGGATTTTTGAGTGAAAGTTCTTGAGAAATATAAAATATGAATGTATTACTGATGCATAACTACTTTTTGTATAAAAAGCACCCCAATTCTAGGAAGGGGTTAGAAAATGGACAGACTGTGAAAGTCAGAGAGGTGTTTATTCTCATTTTTTTGTGACCTAACTAGTTACAAAGAGACAAGGGAAGCCCTCTAGATGATCTTTTTTATTCAGAAAACATCAAGTACAGGAGGTCCTCAAGTACTGTTTCATTACACGCCGTTTCTTTATAACATTGATGAGAAGGAAAATTGATTCCCGGTCCAGGCCACTGTCTGTGTAGAGTTCACACATTCTTCCCATGTCTGCGTGGGTTTTCTGCAGGTTCTCTGGTTTCCTCCCACATCCCAAAGCTGTGCATGCTAGCTGGCGTTTCTGAGTGGTCCCAGTCTCAGTGAGGGTGGGGGTATGTGAGCCAGTGCTGAGATGGGATGGCGTCCCGTCCACTGCTGGCTCCCGCTTTGGCCACTGGATGGGCTCCGGCCACCCACAGCCTTGAAGTGGAATACGCGGGTAAATAATCATCTTACTTATTTTATTAATCTTTCTTAAATGTATGTATAGTTCACTTTAATTTCAATGTTTATTAGTAGAAATGTTTTCATCTTTATTTGGAAATTGGTGATGTATTTGTGATGAGAAATATGCCATGGGAACTTAATTCTTGTTACATTAATTCACCTATGGTAAAATTGGTTTTGTTATACGTTGTTTCACTTAAGGTCACAGTTTCCAAGAAGCTCTCGGCCATGTTAAGTGAGGACATACTACACTTCAAAAAAAATAGAAGAGAAAAGAAAAAAAAGTCATCCGCCATCCTCTATTTCCTCCCCAGCCTTGTTCTGGGTAAGGGATGAATCTAGGAAGTTTTGCCATTTGACACACACAAAAAGTCAACTTTTTAAAATTTTATTTTTTTTAAATTTTTATGGGTACATAGTAGTTGTATATATTTATGGGGTACATGAGCTATTTTGATACAGGCATGTAATGCATAACAATCATATCAGTGTAAATGGGTATTCATTATCTGAAGCCTTTATCCTTTGTGTCACAAACAATCCAATTATATTCTTTCAGTTTTTTAAAACTGTGCAACAAATTATTCTTGACTGTAGTCATCCTATTGTGCTATCAAATACTAGATCTTACTTGTTCCGTCAATCTGTATTTTTGTAGCCATTAACTATCCCCACTCTCCTCCAACTCACCCTACCATCACTCAACTCTCTATCTCTATGGGTTTGTTTTAATTTTTAGCTCCCGCAAATAAGTGAGAACATGAAAAGTTTGTCTTTCCAAGTCTGGCTTGTGTTTAATAACAAATTATGAAGCATGCTTTGAAAGAATATCAGTGTAAACAAGCCAGAGTCCAACCACATTCATTTTTTATGATGGTAAGGTCATTTCCTTGAACCATGTAACTACACTTCCAGCACTGTAGTTGACATTCTCTCTGTTAGGACTCCTTAAATGCTCTGAATCACACTGTTCTACATTTTCAACACAAAACAATTTAAATTTCTCTTGTATTTTACTGTTAAAATAATAATTACCCCCTAAAAATAATGAACTATTCAAATGAGTCAATAATAAAGTTACCAATTTAATTAAATAAATGGATTCTAGATAAATCAAAATATAAATTATATTAATCTTTTGTATTTTATTGGTAAGATTATAAGTTTTCTACCATTAAAAATGCAGGCTATAATAAATGTCAAAATCTCTAGAAACTAACTGAAATACAACAAAAATAACATTCAAAATGAACACTTGAAGATTATAGACTCATTCCAATTCATATCAATCATATTTGTAAACTTCTGAAAAATCTAAAGTCCTCAAAATAGTTAAGTGTAATTGACCAACAGAAAGATCATTTGGGGTTTTCCTTTTATTCAATTCAAGATGATCACATGATACATTCCAATTTTCAGTAGAAACTATTGCATTAGGCAAACTATTTAAATATTAACAAGTTTTCATCAAATATTAACTTTAAACACATTAGAGATCATTTCTAAAAGATACAATAATTTAAAATAATACAGTTATGGTGGAATATAATTAGTGGCACTTAGTGATAAGTGATTTTACTCCACATTACATATTCTAGAGGGAACAGAAAGGAATATTTTTGTGTGTGATAAAATTTACCTAAAGTCTGATCAGCGTTTCAGAATTTTCCTCAGCCTTCACAGAATATGCTCTCATTCAGGCACTATTAAGTGTACTGAGAAATTCAAATGTAATTTTTACAATTCTCCAGAAACAAAAATAAGGGATAGTTCACTAATAATAGTGGCTTACAGCTTAAAATAGTTGTATGTTTGTCAATATTTCTATGTAATTCTGAAAGAGACTAATGTTGGCATTTCACTGAAAATATGTGAGCAAAGATATTTATTTCCATTTATTATTGCTTTCTACTTCCAAAATTGCTAAGTTCATTTGCAAGCTGTTTGACAAAAACATGGGACTTTCAAATCAAATATTGTAGGAGGAAACACAACCATATTATCATTACTACTTTATAATACAAACATAGTACAAAAGACACTTATTGAAAGCTCAAAGAAATTTAACCTCAAGTCAGCAAAATAAAATTTGACCAGGATCTTACAGTTTGTAAAGTCTTATTTCTAAAAAGCTTCATCTTGAATAATAAAGTCCCACATCTTACCACCAGAGATTTGATTTGGCATTAACTGAACACATATTTTTCTTCTTTGTTCTTAAACTAATTTCTAACCTAGAGCATTAGCTTCATGTTTTTCCTTCTGTAAACTTTATAACTGATGCTGCTAATTACAATAACAGGGCATATCTGTGGAGTTAACCAAAGCAATCTAAAATATTTGTGATTTACCTGATCTTGCTTAATCACAGTTTGAAAAAATTGGTCATGGCAAAATTTTTTTGCAGATATATATTTAGTTCTTAATTTACTGAAACTGAGTTTCTATGCGATAGCAATTTTTTTTTTCTTCAGAATTATCTAGTGTTACTTGGTTGACTCTTGAGCTTCATGTTAACATGGTAAGAAAAAACTGCTTTGCTAATCTCTTTGACCTGGAGTAACTGCAAAGCTAAGTCCTTATAATATTACAAGGCTGAGCTTATGTCCAAACTAGAAATTTCAGGTGTTTCAAATGCAGTACTTGAATTTTCAGCTTCTTTAATGGAAATGCAACATTACCACGATGCAAGAAGACATTAACAACAATATATTTCCAAGACATGCTTTTACATTCTAAGGTTATTATCATAAACATTTAAAAATATACATCATTCAACACAATAGATAATGAATTTAAGTTCCTAAGAGACTTGTTTTCCCATTGATTATGAATGAAACCCATTATAATTGATGGTGACTGTGTATCCACCTCAATGAGCAGCTTTGCTCTTTTTCATGTATGCATCTGGACTTAGGTTATTTAAAAGTTATTTTTTCACATTTAGATAACTCAGATGTCTCAATGACTGCTTCACATTTGTAAATCAATAAACAACCTCAAATACTACTGTTTTTTTTTTTTCAAAATTTAATTACTAGTATACTCTCTTGGTTGACAGTTGCATGTAATCTTTATTCTCATCAAGAAGGTTTATTAGACATGTGAAGTGTACAAGTAATAAAAAGCATAAAACAATATCAGTATTCTGCTAGAATTATTTACCTTGGCAATTCAATGTTAATTTTGACATCTATCAACCCCATCCCATAACGACAACTTTCCTTTCCTTTACCCTTCAGATAAGTTTATCTATGCCATGGGAATATTAAATTGCTTCTTTGCAAGAACACTTAATCATCCTCTGTACTACACAGCCAATTTTAAGATCTTTGGTGATAGATTGTCCTAGTCTTGGACTTGATTGTTCTTAATCTGTTCTCTATTCCCCTGCTCCACTCTGTATAAGAGGAGCTCACCTCTTCGGATTGCATTTTTCATGATCCACAGCCACCTGGCTCTGGCTACCTTCAACAATGGAGACTCTGGTGAGGGTGCCTTTTGGAAGGCAGTGAGAAGAGAGAAGCCAAGGCATTCTCACCTTCATCTTTGCTGAGCAGTTTTCAAATGTGGCTTCTCTGTGGTTCCAGTTTGCATCTGACAGGCCTATGGTGGCTCAAGTACTGACAGGATGATCTCTGGTATCTAATATTATCACTCTTTATCCCTCCAATCTAAAAGTAGTAATAGCTTTCTACTATTGATAATCTCTGGATTACCCCCATCACTCCTTACTTGGTTCCCCAAATCCACATTACCTCTGCAACCAATTTCCAGGATGAAATGCCCTGCTATAAACATTTTAAGTGCTTTCTGATTGCAATTTGATATATCAGTCTTACACATTATCACAGAGATATGTAATGGTATGTTGTCATTTTGATCACATGTTATATATCAGAAAATTGAGATTTAGAGATATTAACCTGATTTTTTAATTTATGTCAACTGACAGTGGAAATTGAATATGAATTTAGATTAGTCTGTCTCTTCATCCAGTGCCTTTCAACACAGAGCATGTGTCTTGTATGATAATCTGTATATTGATAAGTATCTAAATTTTTCCTTACCTGAGCTAAGCCTGAAAGGATCATAATATATAGCTAGAAATATCTCATACTCCTTTACTTTGTAAGAAGGCTTTCTAGTGACACGGTGTGATTTATGCTTTGGAAAACAGAGTGCTGGTCTGCAGATAGCTTCTCAGGGAATGGGTGGAATCTGGGAGACCTGACAGGAGATTATGTTATAATCCGGGCAGAAGGTCATGGTGGCCTGGCCAGAGTAGTGTTGTTGGAAGGATGATAATGTTCAGATTATAGGATATATTTTGAAAGTAGAGACAATAGGAGGTTGGTACAAATTAAATGCAAGATTGGAGAGAATGAACTACTGCCATCAGCTGAGATGAAGAAGGCTGTGAGAAGCATACCTGCAGAGATTCAGGTGAATCATAAACAGAGTTTTACACATATTAAGTTATATTGTTACGATTAAATTGTGTCATCATGAAAACCAGCTTTCTGGTTAAGAAATGTAGCTATCATGCAAGCATCCATATGTATTATTGTAATCTAAGGAATTCAGAGAAAATTTAAACCAGTTTAACAAACCATTGGGACCAAAATCATGTCATTTGAAAAAGTCAAATTTAAAAAAAGGGACAAAATAATCAAGGATGCCTTAAAAGTCTTAGGTAATGTCACTGTGAAGGTTTCTAAATGATGAAACAGTCCTAGGGTGACAACTTTCCCCAGCATTGAATACACAGAGAACCCACCTTGCCTCAAAGACATGAAAGCCCAACAAAACCTATGGTTTAATGCAAATTAAAGATGTACATAGTTTATAATTAAGCATAGCTTATTTTAGAAACTCAGACTAACTTGTGTGTAAATGTCTATTTTCTGCTCATTGGCTGTTAATTTAAAAGCAGATTTTTGCCATCTTTCTACCATTTGCCCCTTTGTTGTTTTAAGCCAAGTTCTCAAATAGACAGGCAATTCCTTAAATACTGAGGTGAGTTTGCCAAAGAGTTTAGTGCAAAAATGAGTTCATATATAGTATATGACAGTCTATAAAAATGAAACCAGAGTAAAAAGAAAAAAAAACTGTACATGGAGTGCATTGCACATGGCAGTCATAATTCCAACTCAGGACTTGTATTCCCAACACACAGAATTGCCTCTCCATGCATAATTGAGGCTGTAGTTTCATTATAGGTCCTTTTACAGAGACTTTGCTTTCTAAACCACATAAAAATTAATGTTTGCTGTCAGTCTAATTAAACTATTATTAAACGTTTCCTCCTTTTATTTTGATGCTTATGGATGTTAGTAGTAGTAATATTTTGAAAATTGTATTAGCATTTTGGCATTTGAAGGCAATCTCATACCTAAAAGCATATAGCATCAAAATTTTAAAGCAAACTAAGTAAGTTGTCTTTGTTTCATAAACCCTTGTATTTAGAATTAGGAATGATTCATTCATTTACTAAAATAATTAAGGACTTCCACAAAGGATAGAAATTACTTGCAGCTGTTTTTCCCATATAGGAAATGAAGATTACCTAGAGGGTGTTGGTTTTTCATTGAAAGTGCAGATGATGGGTGGAAAATTTGCCTCTATTGTCTCTTGGAAGTGGAATCTCAGGTATGCCTCACTTAAGGCATACATATTTAATCTTCTTAAAGAAAATACCTAATTAGGACTTGCATCTTCCAGTTTGTGACCGTTTGTATATTACTGTTTGATTGAGACATGAAGCTATGTTTTCACCATTTACTATTCAGACAATATTCTAAGTATTATTTATACTGCAATGTGAAACAAGTTGCCCCTATCTACTCTCATAAACTACACAAAAACACACACACACTCACACAAACAAAGCACATTACAACTTAATTATGCTAAAACTTGGTAAAGATAATGGTTTCTTATTAAAGCCTAATAAGTACTATCCTTCCTTAACACTCCGTGAAATATAAATGTAGCTTAAAAATAAGAATATATTTGTAATTGCTCAAAAAGAAAAGAGAATTATATGATGCCATAAACCTCAAAAAGTGATGACAAAGGGCAAAAAGAGCAGAATTTAGAGGTTCATGTCATTACTTCTAACTTTACTCCCATGTTCCCCTGCTTAAAGATGTGATGGCTTAAAAATGTGGTTACAATATAAAATATTTGGTCTGTAAAAGTTAGTTCAGAGAGGCAATTAAACAGTTCTCAGAAGAAAGTTAAGGAGATGCTTAACAAATTACATTAGTACACTGAGAAACGCTGGGCAAAATTCTCTAAATATCACAAAAAACAAACAAAATGACATAGGAAATATGTAACTATACTGTGAAATTAACAAATTTTTAAAAATTATTACTCAGTCTAGGAAAAAAATGTAAACCAAAGAATAGAAGGTGTGATTGAAACTACTATTGTACAACAGGGTCCAGTTTCCTTCCATACATGAAACTCCAGCTAAGGACCACATTGCCCTTGCAATCAATTGTGGGCATCTGTTTATAATTAAGCCATTGCTAATGGAATGAACAGATATAACATATGGAATGTATGCCTCTCTTGCTAAAGGGAAAATCTCTCTCCCTGGGGACATGTATTTTTTTTTTTAACTTCTGCCTTAGAGGACTGTCAAAGACTAAAACAAACCTGAAAGCTATGTGTGGAAGATCCAGAGCCATATTTATTTCAAGTCCCTGAATGTTAATGTGGAGAGCCACCTGTCAAGCTGGGACATCCACCCCGAGTCATTAAATAAAAGGAAAATAAACTTATGTCTTGTTTAAACAATTATATTTTGAGATTTTCTTTATTATTGGATCTAATAAGCCCCTAATTAGCTCAAATGGGTTATTTCCCAGAGAGCTTGGTGTAGTCGAACAGGTAAATAAGAACATGAAATTAGTAAAAGAAACATAAAAACACGTACATTAAAAAAGATAATAACTTTTTTTAAAGTACTACAGAGTTAAGCGAATAAATTGCCAAAATAAAAGGAGAACTAGTAGATTTAGAAACAAAGGAACAGGATAGAAAAAAATGACATGGAAATTCTGATATTGAAGTAAGCCCTGAAATAACCATAATGAATGCAGATAAATTAAAGCAGTTAGAGAGAAGATAATAGTTGGGCAATTCAGATAACACATCAGGAAAATTTATGAAGCAGATAACATAGAATGAGAAATTATTCAATTATGCAGGGTATAAAAAAGATGCCTGAAATGAAGGAAGAAGGCATCAGTAGACTTGTGTGGCACATTATTTTCTAGGAAAAGTTTGATATGGTAGAGTTAACAGTGGGTCATCTTCAAACTGTATTATTAAACCCTGAGAATAAAGAGAGGGTTTTTAGTCATCCTGGCAGATTAATAAAAATACTTAAAGGAAGAAAGAAAAATAAGGCTTATATGGGACTTCATAACATTCGATACCAGAAAATAATAAATCTATGTACACAAAGTTCTGAAAGAAATCAACAGGCACCAAAGACTCCTTGGACACTGGCCAAAATATAACTCAATTACAAAACAAGAGAGATATTTTCTCAAATATTAACTTATTAAGAAAATACAGCTCTTGGCCAGGTGTGGTGGCTCACACCTGTAATTCCAGCACTTTTGGAGGCTGAGGCAGGTGGATCTCCTGAGGTCAGGAGTTAGAGGCCAGTTTGGCCAACATGGCGAAACCCTGTCTCTACTAATAAAACCCGAAAAAAAATCTTAGCAAGGTGTCCTGGTGCACTCCTGTTATCCCAACTACTCGGGAGGCTGAGGCAGGAGAATTGCTTGAACCAAGGAAGTGGAAGTTGCAGTGAGCTGGGATCACCCCAGTGCACTCCAGCCTGGGTGCAACAGAGTGAGATTCAGTCAAAGGAAAGGAAGAGAAGGGAAGGGAGGGCAGGGGAGGGGAGGGGAGAGGAAGGGAGGGGAAGGGAGGGGGAGGGAGGGGGAGGGAGAGGGAGGGAGGGGAAGGGAAGGGGAAGGGAAGGGAAGGAGGGAGGGAGGGAGGAAGGAAGGAAGGAAGGAAGGAAGGAAGGAAATACAACCCCTATGATCGCTTTGTGAAAAAAACTCCCAAATGTTATACAAAGTCAATCAACACATGAACAAAATATAAAAACTGCAGTGAAAATATTGGCATAAGGAGAATCAAAATTAAGCATCATATATACATACATACATATGTATCTGTGTGTTTGTATACACATACCTGTGTGTATATATGTATACATTATAATACAAAACAACTATAGGAATAATGCTTACAAAACAACTTTAGGAATAAAGCTGACCTTTACTCCTAAAGGTGAGTAAAGGTGAGTGAAGATCACCTTCACCAAAGTGAGTAGGCATACATATATATACACATATATCACAAAACAACTATAGCAGTGATGCTTACAGAAGAGAAATAAATGCCCTGAACTGGAATAATAAAATATAATAACATAATTTATAAAATTCTTATGAGAAAGAAAGAAGTGTTAAATTATAATGTATTTCCACTTTATTATCAATGTTAACAGTAGGAGCAAACTAATAGAAAGACCAAGTACACAGATCATGTAGATCCATGACACAGAGTTTACTTATCTGAAGAATGCAGAAGAAAGTCAGTAATATCAGAGTACATAAACGAGAAATCAACATGTTTTAGAGCCAGTAGAAAGATAAAAATCTAGACCCCAAAATCTTCAAAAGGAGTTGTCAGTGATAATTTCTGATTGCATGTGTGCTACTTTCCATATTTTCTACCCTCCTCCCAGCCTTTCCTTGTAAACATAAGCTTCTATACTTAAACATGGACCAGTGTTAATTCAAATGAGTTTAATATGTGCCCAGGACCATCTCTTCTGAGCCAAGTGCTCCCCATCAATCTTAGAATTTACATAATATAAAATATACTAACAAGGTGAGGTCTCATACACCCAGGATTAGCACAGATATCATTTATCACCCTCTCTAGGCTTACACAGCCTGATGTAAGTATGTTCCTTAACCCAGGTCTGGAACAACAACATGGATCATTTACCTAGATGTCAGAGGCAGTCATGTTAATAGGCCTATTAATAAGCCCTATCCTGCAGCTAATTACCTCATCATTTACAGCAAGAGTAAATTGATACTGTAAAAACTGAAACTAGATGAAAAAAAATACACATAATGACTCAACCTCATAATGTGCTCATAAACCCCTATCCTTATCAAATAACATATCCTGTGATGAAGAAACATTTATCTGAAGTTCATCAGATCCTTCAGTTTTTCTTGTTTATTTTTCTCCTGTTTAGTCAAATAAATTAAATCTAACATTCATTGAGTTTATATATTATCATCTCATTTTAATAAAATAATGTGTCATATATTCAATCTATCCATTATTTAATTCATGTTTCTGCTTAGGGTGGGAAAGTATTTAATGTATGGGATGGCATCACCTAATGTTAATGATAGCTATTTCAGGACGATTGTGGTAATGATGGCCAAGTTCTATCTTTCAAGTTAGAGAATTGATTAGAATGTGACTCAGATTCTAATGCTTTTAATTCTGTGTAATGACAAGGAATACTCATATGCACACATTTCATGGTTACTTATTTTTGAAGCTTCCCTCCATCTCTGCAGTGAGCAGGCTCAAGGAAGTAGGAATGATGCCCATAGCCAGAAGACATGTTCCATAGTCTCACACGGGCATTGGAATTGGCCAGTGCTACTGAATGCCACATATAATGGTTAATCTTGACCACATATAATGGTTAATAAACTAGACTGGGCTAAAGGATGCCGGATAACTGGTAAAACATTATTTTTGGATGTGCCTGTGATTAAAGAGATTAGCATGTAAATCAGCAGTCTGAGGAAAGATCACCTTCACCAAAGTGGGTGGGCATCATTCAATCCTTTGAGGGCCTGAATAAAACAAAAAGGCAGAGAAAGGACAAATCTGCTCTTTCTGTTTGAGCTGAGACATCCATCTTCTGCTTTTGGAAATCAGTGCTCTTGGTTCTCCGGCCTTCATGTCTGGAATGGAACTATACCACCGGATGTTTTGGATTGCCAGATTGCAGACAGTAGATTGGTGAACTGCCTAGCCTGCATATTTATGTGAACCAATCACTAATAATAAACTTATTTCTGTACATCTCTATATGTCCTATTAATTCTGTTTCTCTGGGGAACCCTGGATAATACAGGACAGAAGTAGGATCTCATATTGGTTACCTAAAGATACCACAGTGCTATTCAACATATGAGAGTTCATTACACGTGTAAATTTCCCCCCACCCCTCCCCAGGGCTCAGGTTATTTACTTTCTACATCATTCCACTTTATTATAACCAACTAAATACTTGTGCTCAAAGTTCAAAGCAACACCTACATAATTTTAAATAAATTGTTTATAACTTTAGTTCTAGAGAATCGAGACTATTGGAAGAAAGTCTGAGAAAAGAACTGGCCTGGAAATATTAAACCAGCATATCCTTTGGCACCATCCTTCAACTATATGGTGAATTTTCTTTGATGGTTTCTGCATTTGTTGCAATGAGTACATATGAATTTTGAATAAAAAGGAATTTCTTTAAAAATAAACACCCAAATAAATATACAATTAGGACTTCTGGCAAAACCTAAAAAGCAAAGCAGCAAAATTCTTTGAGAAAATATAAAAATATAAACACACACGTATAACCTTACCTTAGCAAGATCTGTCTGTCATCTAACCCTGGTGACTAATCTCAACATCACTAATAGTGGGAAAATGTGACATTATGTACTTCTTGGTGTGATGCAACAAGAAACACGAAACACCACCCAGTAAATACTATTCCTCAACATATTTACTCTGACTCTGATTCATCTTCATATCTAATATAGTTTACAGTAATAAAAGTGATGAAGGAACAAGTTAAATGATATCTTGAGGACACAGACACATCTAGAAGGTGAGATGCTTATAGATCTATCTAGTCTCTTCAAAATTTTATAAGAAAACAAAAATAATAAGACTGTACTATGTTGAAAGAGACATATGAGACACACCAACAAAAATACCCATAGTTCTTAATTAGATCCTATTTTTAGCAAATTTAACTGTAAGATATATTTTGGGAACAATTTAAGAAATTAGGAGAAGGACTAGGAGTAATAAATGATATTAGGGAATTTTTATTTTATTGTATTGCTTGTAATTTATATCTATTTATTTATCAGAGACAGGGTCTCACTCTGTCACCCAGGCTGGAGTACAGTGCCACAAGTTCAGTTCACTGCAGCCTCAACCACCCAGACTCAGGCAATCCCTCCTCAGCCTCCCAAGTAGCTGGGAGTATAGGAACACCCTATCACAGCCAACTAATTTTTATATGTTTTGTAAAGATGTGTTTCACCATGGCCAAAGCTGGTCTCAAACACCTGGCCTCAAGTGATCCACCCACGTCGGTCTCCAAACCTGCTGGAAACACAGGTCTGAGCCACCAAGCCCAGCCAAGAAGTTTTTAAATAATTTGTAGAAAACAGGATTGTGGTTATATAGGTAAATAACTGCGTGTTTGAAGATGAATATTGAAAAACTTAGAGGTAAAATTTATGTCTGTGTTAATATAAATTAATTCAGCAAAAAAGTGAGCAAATATGGAAAATAGTAACATTTGAGGATTTTTTTTTTTTTTTTTTTTTTTTTTTTAAGACAGAGTCTCATTCTGTGGCCCAGCCTGGAGTGTAGTGGCACGATCTCGGCTCACTGCAACCTCCGCCTCCCGGGTTCAAGCGGTTCTTCTACCTCAGCCTCCCGAGTAGCTGGGATTACAGGCGCCCGCCACCCCACCGGGCTAATTTTTGTGTTTTTAATAGAGATGGCATTTCACCATATTAGCCAGGCTGGTCTCAAACTCCTGACCTTGTGATCTGCCCGCCTCCTCCTCCCAAAGTGCTGGGATTACAGGTGTGAGCCACTGTGCCCGGCCTACATTTGAGGATTCTTTATGTTGTTCTTGATATTTCTGTTTATTTTTTAAAATATGAATACAACCAGGTAAAACAATATAGATATGGGACAAGATATTTATGGCACATACTGCAAGAGTATCCCCTCAAGTCTATGGTAGACATTATTGCCCAATTATGTCAGTCTTTCCCAGTGACTCAAGACATGGCTCCTGGTTGCTTCTCAACCAAGCACTTCTAATAGATTAAAGTCAGCATTAGGATTAAAACTAAACTATTTTCTATTCTTGTGATAAAGGAAAGTTTAGTATCATGGGTAGACATTGATCCATTGTTTGTTAGGTGAAAAGTGTACACAAAATGAAACAGCAGGTATATGGTAAAATTTTTGTTTAAAAATGTGTTTATATAAATATAAGAAACAAAAGGGTATCTGACACAATGCTAATAATGGTTATTATCTGGAAGTAGAATTTTAGGATAGTTATGATAGTTACCATACTATCATAACTGTGAGCAGGGGTGCAGCTTGGAACTTCAGCTCTTAAATTTTCTTCAATTTGTTACTGCTTTCTGAAGTTGATAAAACAAATTTATATTACTTTTATAAGCAAAAATATTGTTATGTTTAAATCATTTTGTAAGTATTACTCCAATGGGAAAAATGTTTATTTTGACAGATGAATTGATAAATGGTGTCAATTAGGTTTTTTCTAATTTTATGTAAGAAATATTTATTTTAGAATTGTTTTAAATTTATAAAAAAATTTGCAAGATAGTACAAAATGTCCATAATATGCCAAACCCAGTTTATTCTATTTTAACATATTATGTAATACAATTCAGTATGCACTAAATATAAATCATCTCATATAATCATTTGTCAAACTGAAATGAAAGTAGATATTATCCCAATTTTATTTGTATCATATATATACATACGTATATATGGAACTGAGTCATATAGAGGTATATTTTCTCAAGACCACATAACAAGCTGCATACCTATTCAAATCCAGGGTTCTATGTGATTAAAATATATAATTTGTATCCCAACACAATAATGCCTCTTAAGATATTAGATGCTCTTCTAAAAAGAGAAATCTCTAATATTTGTGTTATGGTGTCTAGACATTAATTCTTATGGAAAAAGTAAAAAAAAAAATTAGAAAATCAGAGGTTATGTGATCTTTCAGCAGGCTCAGCCTAGTTACTGTATATTAAACATTTCTATTATTTGTTTTTTTTGCTAAGTGAACTACCTTGCCTTATTTATCTTCATTCACTTAAATCTTTCTGGCATAAACCTATTTTCAAGATTATATTAGTGATGTTTTTTATTCTGTAGAATAAATAACAGCATATATATAATATCATCAATAAAGGAGTCTACTGTTTATGTTGTCAGTAAAGCCAAGTATAAAGTATTATTTAAATGTCTATTTTATACTCAAATAAGTAAATAGTACAATTCCTTTCTCCCTATTATTGAAAAATACAAGTCAGCTTTTAGTAAAGAAAATATGAAAGTATAAAAAAGAAAAGCAAATTAGCATTAATGCCATTTTTGAAGTGGCATTTAAATAACTGATGTGTCAGGGTAAAAGTCTGAGTTAAAAATATTAGTAGAGCATATAATATTTCACAAATCCTCAGCAGAGCTTCAGAGTTTTCTTTTTGGTAGTCAACACATATAAGATAAATAGGTTGAGGCATAAAGAAACACCAGATAAAATTGTTAAAGATGTCAATCATTTTTGCAAAACATTTACTGGGGATATCAACATACACAAAACATCCAAATTTCTCTAAATCGCCAATTTTCAGTAGACAAATACATCTGTGATTAAAAAAAAAAAAACTTCTCAATTTGTTTTACAAACCTGAAAATCACCTCAACAAACTACAGTGAAAATGTTAGCATTGAGCATCTCTTTAAAATGTAATAAAAATTAGGCTCAGAAAGGTTATTTAACTTGATTGATGCCACACAGGAGCTTGAGTTCTTATTTATATTCTCTGTGCCAAGTAATAATAAATATAAAGAAAAGTTAATATGGAAAAAAAGCTTCACTTCTCCTAGCACTTCAATTCACACAGTCAGTTGACAATGGTGATTAGCATTTGAATAGATAGAAGGTAATAGAATTTTTGGTCTTCATTAATATCACAGGTCAGTAGATTTAGAAATAAAAGATGAGCTTGGATTTTCCTTTACAAAACCAGTAAAATGAAAGTCAAAAAAAAAACTAGTAATAATTTTTAACTTTCACTTATTTTTCACAAGGCATGTATTTTATTCCCTTAAGGCCAAGGCCTTTGCCAGCTTCTTCCTGATACTGCAGGCCACAGAATTCGGTAAACTACTAAAAAAATGAACATTTCATCCTTGGTTGAATATTGTTATTGCTCTGTAGTTACATTGTGCACTGTATATAGATATAATTTATCTATTTTTCCATTAAACAAAATCATAACTGGCAAGTAGAGCTATGGAATTGTCTTCTGTAGTGTTGCTCTCTTTATAAGATGTGATGTCCTCATTCTAGCTGTGCTAGCTTTTTGCAGCAGCAGTTTTTGTTTGTAAAATGAAACAGCACCACCTTGTATCCTGAAGTAAAGCTACAGCTTCTTTAAAATATCTAACATTCAGATGTTTACATATTTCAAATATATGTAGTAAGCGTCGTATTATGAAGTAGATAAAATTTAATTACAGGCCTGCTCTGTGCTAGATTCAGCTGTGTAATTACTAAACCGCTAAACCGATACCACTGTATTTATGCCCCCAAAATACATACTTTTAGCTATAAATTTACCCCGATACAACCAAATGCAGAAAAATATGTTAAATTGTGTAATAGCTATCAAATGGCAAATTGTCTGTCATAGCTCACAAAAATAATTCAATTAAATGTTGAGATCTCCCTTAACCTTGTTATTTTATGACTCCATCAGTCCATATGTACATACAAAATGAAACATATGTCCTAATCTATAAGGTAGGTAGATGTTTTAGATAGTTATTAAGTTCATGGAAGTACATAAACAAATGCTTTGCTATCATATAAATATACACATATAAACTAATTCACCTAATTAAAATTATTAGAGATTTCCCAGTAGAAATCTGTGGCATTTTTTAGTATCTTTTAAATAAATTTAACCACAAAAATAATACTTAACAAATATATGCATAGATGTTGAAACTCTTAACCAGGATTGTGAAATGGTGTTCACTGATTTCCTTATACTGCTGAAATCCAAGTTAATACTTATGTTTATGACTCAGCAAAATTGTGAAGTACAGCATAGCACTATATTAATATATTCAAATGTTTCTTTAAAAGTGCATGTGTATTATATATCACAGTTTTGAAAGATTTTCTTATGTCTAAATTATGGCATATTTCAAACAAATATAATTCACAATTCATCAGAACTGCAAAGAAGATAAAATGTATTTGCACAAAATCTAAACTTTCTAAAAGCTATTATGTGAGTTTTTGATTGCCAGAGTAATGCTTGTATTATGATTTCTAGATCTTTTGTTTCATGATATATTTGAATTCTTGGCCAGAAATACAACATTTAAGGTGAAATAATATACTTATTTTTCTCCTTGCCAACACAGTATTATTCTCACAGATACACAATTGCCAAGTAGGGGTTACAGACCTTATATTTTGCATTTTAAGATTTGATTTTATGCCATAAAATCAAAGTATATTATAGGAATACTTAAGCACAGCCAGGTGTCTGGAGTTTCACTTCCCATATCTTTGATTGCTTTATAATCTAATCTTCTATAAGAAAAGTTCACTTATCACGTTCTTCTTTGCATTACAAGTGTCTGTTTGCAAGTCTCTTCTGGAAGGTATCAGAAGGCTTGCATCGTATCTGGCTTATTGTTTTAATACAAGTGCCTATAGTAGTGACTGATACATAAGAGGTGCTCAATAAATATGTTTCTGTAAATACATTTTCTCCTATAACTGACAGAATGAGGAGTATGTGGTGTAAGAAAGTTCACAAAGCTGAAGTTCCAAGCTGCACTCCTACTCATAGTTATGAAAGTATGATATACTTAGTGAAAAGGGAAAAAAGGAATGTATCTGTCCTTATAGTTCCAAGTAGCAGGCAGGTAACCCACTTGCATTTTGATCCTTCCATTATTTATTTTATCAATCTTAAGGATGGTATGCATGCTGCTTATTTTTATCAGAATTTTAAAAATGGGGCTTGGGTTGTGGAAACTTCTACTTTCTGTAGCCTGTGGAGTAACTGTAATCTACTAAGGGGTACAAATATTTTGTCAAATCCAAGCATAATTTTAATTACTATTGCTCTTGTCTTAATCTTCTGAGTTAGTTTAACTTAACACCTACTTTACCAAAAAGGGGCTCAATAAATATTTTTAAATTAATAAATCAATCTTATTTGATGCAAAATATATATTAAAATAAAACATATCTATATGTAGGCATTTAAACAAAGGTTGGAAATAAGAAACTTATGTAATTAAAATATTCTCCATACAAGAAAATTTTGCAAGGTTTTTCTGTCATTTGCAAGTACAAAATTATTAACAATAACAAGTAGAGAATCCATCTAGGTTTTTATTTTATCTATAGAGGAATTTTTAAAAATATGTCTGGGAACTGGGAAAATTATTTTAGGGTAGTAAGTGACTATTGATTCTATCAAACCTTCAAATATCCATAATATTCATTCTCTTATAAAGCCCGACAATTGTTCATTTCCTATCTGCTGTGATTCTTATATCGACTTGATTTTGAGCTCTACTGCCTTGATGCATTGGTAGAAAAAGTCAACCCCTATATTCCGTAACTATTTCAAAGTCTTCCAGAAGTTGAAATATGAGATGGGGTAAAATATTAATTTATAACAAATTCATTTAATCACTTCATTAAAGTATGAAACTAAAATTAGATAATATATTCAATAAACATGATTCAAAGTTGAACATATGGTATATTCAGGAAATAATATTTTAAAATATTCCAAACTTATGATTTCTAGGAAATGAAGAAAGAAAAATTGGAGAATATTTAAGGAATGGGTTTGATTCAGAATTAAAGCTATATTAATGTGAACATTATTAGACTTTAAATAGAGAACAGAATATGCTTGCTGATGACCTTATATTTATTAATTGTGAATTAAACTGAATTGCTTCAGATCAGATGCTGGGGAAGAGAGGATGCGGAAGAATTTAGTAGCTAATTTCATTATTACTTACAATAGGGAACCAATAGACCATCATCAAAAAAGGAGGATTAAGGGTGCTAAGGAAAGGTACTTAGTATGAAGGTAACCACAAGAACAAAAATTAATGAGCCTACCTAGATACCAAAAAAGTTAAAAAGAGCCGGGTGCAGTGGCTCATGCCTGTAATCCCATCACTTTCAGAGGCTGAGGTGGGTGGATCACTTGAGGTCAGGAGTTCGAGACCAGCTTGGCCAACATGGTGAAACCCCATCTCTACTAAAAATACAAAAAGTATCTGGGCTTGGTGGCAGGCACCTGTAATCCCAGCAACTCGGGAGGCTGAGGCAGCAGAGGTTGCAGTGAGCCAAGATCACGCCACTGCACTCCAGCCTGGGCGACAGAGTGAGATTCCATCTCAAAAAAATAAATAAATAAAATAAAAGAAAGATCTATCTATATTAAGAACAGAAAGATTAATACACAATTGAAGAACAATGTAAACATTAAAGGGGATGTGGAACTATTGCCCCTAAGAGGAGGGAGGAAATAGGGTAGAGGAACTAGCTCAGAAACGGGACTTCTTTGCCTATGCCTTGTTTTGGAGATGTGCCTCTGGAAACGGATCAACATTTTTCCATGTACCTTTGCAACGCAACTACATTCCTTAAAATAAATTTACAAAAATAAGCAATAAACAAATGAACCTAACTGTGTTTTCAGTTGGTGGTATAAAGAGGTGAAATATTAAAAGTGACTTTAAGGCATAGTAATCCCCCAGAGGGATATGTGTTAAGGACAAAACTATTACCTTGATTGTGGTAATGGTTATCGTGAAGGTTTGCTTATGATTGTGCACATCAAATATGTGCAGTTCTTTGTATGTTAATTATACCTCAATAAGGCTGTTTTAAAATCTACAAAAGAAAATTCAAACATTTAAGCACTCATATTTTTGTTTTAGTGTTTTGTTTTAGTCTCACTCTGTTGCCCAGGCTGGCATGCAGTGGCACGATCATGGATCATGGCTCATTGCAGCCTCTACCTCCCAGGTTTAAGTGATCCTCCTACCTCAGCCCCCCAAATAGCTGGGAATGCAAGCATGCAGCACCATGTCAGCTATTTTTTTTTTGGTAGAGATGGGGTCTCACTATGTTGCCCAGGCTAGTCTCAAACTCCTAGTCTCAAGTGATCCTCCCACCTCAGCCTCCCAAAGCGCTGGGATTACAGGCATGGGCCACTGTGCCAGGCCTAGTGTTGGTATTTTAATACTGACATACTTACATGTGTAATGTGGGATAAAAGCAAATGAGTAATTATTTTTTATTTGAATTCCTACAATCTCAGTGTTATTGAGAACTGGAATTCTTAGCATAGACATAACAGAAAAATAATTAGTAGGAAGGAGTTTAAAATAAAAACCCTGGAGGTCTTGAATTTGAATTCAATGTAGTGGTGTAAATTAATGAGATATTTTAATAAAAATATATTTAAGAAAATATCTTCCTCAAAATAAGCATGTTTCTTATCTATTTCAATTAAAAAACAGCAACAATGACCAACCATTTACAATGAATCTAGATTTGATCATAAAACATGTGTATCTTTCTATAGATATTCTCTCCATTTCTCTCTCTCTCTCTCACACACACACACACACACACAAACACACACACACATTCTTACTGGAAGGAACCAGGGCTTCTTGGAGAAAAGACTGTGGCAGGAGAACTTCAAGATGAAATGGACAATATTTTCATATCAGAGAGCAAGGAATCTTTCAAAGATATTTTGAATGCTGTATTGAAACTACTCAGAAATAATCCTGAAAAAGATTTCACTTGGATTTAGAAAGTTTGAGAATTAACTGCAATAGGTTGAAACATACCAAACATCTAACATGAGTTTGTAATGAGACTAAAAAACAAAACAAAATAAAACAAAAAAGGAACTCCATCCACCGATTGTTTACCATTGAAATTTTTCATTATTTATTTTGAAATTATTAAAATAAAAAAAGAAAGAATCAATCATTTATCCCATCTTACACTAATCACTCCACTGGGTAACCAAATACTATCTGACTAGATGAAGAAATTATCTCTTAATAGAAATATTTCATCTAATATATGAAGAAACAATGATTGAATGAAAATACCCCTTTTGGGTATGAAGTAGTAAAATAAACCTTATGAATTCTGAAAGGAAAAGATCAAGGTCAGTTTCCTCCATGAAGGTTAAACTTCTGTGTGCATCTAACTCTACCACTCATTTTTAATGTAATTGCTAAATTCTAAAAATCCATATTTTATCATTTAGAAATATATTGTTCGAAATTACAACACTCATTTTTTCTCATTGTTTCATAAATTATTTGAAGAAGAGACTTGGGATGGTTATGCAGATATTGAGTTTCTTATTTGAGAATACACAGATGTGTGAAAGACAATCTAGAGTATCATCGAATTCACCAAGTACTGACTATTGCTATTCAATCTAAAATTTTTACAAAATTTGAAGTTCTAAGAACTAAACACTTAGGTTTTTGAGTGTAATCTCTCTCTGTTTCCCTATTTGAATTTCTTGTTATTTCACAAGATGAAATGGAAAGTCAATGTTTGACTCCCTAGATTATTTAAATTTTTGAAAACTGAAAAAAATATATTCTGAGTATAATTACAAATGAATTTTAAGTAGACATTATCTCTAGAAAAAAGGTTCATGCAGGCAGTGTGGTACCTACCTACAGTTCCAGCTACTTGGGAGGCTGAGGCAGGAGGATGGGGAGAGTCCCTTCAGCCTAGGAGCTAGAGGCCAGCCTGAGCAACATAGCAACAGCAGTCTATAAAAACAAATCACAACAAAAAGATACAAAATAAGAGTGAACGGCAAGAGAGGCATCACATTAGCGGAGGTTAAATGCAATTCTAATTTCCACAGAGCTGAAAATGCATTTCAAAATAAACCTTCCTCATTATGACTAAGTGTGCTAATAAAGCATAGAAAACAGTGAATACCATTATAGGAATAAACACACCAAGAAAATATTTTTCCAAAAATATTTATTTGTAGATAGAAAATACCTCCTTTATGAATATTTTAATAAATTTCCTGATTTCTAAAATATTCCCTACATCTAAACTTTATTTTCTTGATGGTGTTTATTATATACTATAAATAATTATTTATTGCTCATATTTTTCTCCTTGACTAGAATAAAATGTTACTGAATATAATAAAATCTTAGTATCTTGTACAATGTTTATATCTTGCACAAGACAAATCTATAGAGAATAAAGAAATATTGAATAAATAAATTATGAATAAATAAATTGCTTATGTCCTGTTATGTTGAGAAAATCATGTAGATATAGAAACCCTAGATTTTACTAAAGATTTTGACTCTATTATTCATAATATTCTCTGAAAAAGATAGAATATTTCCACTCAAACTTTACAATTCATCCAAGGGTTTTGTTAAAATGCAGATTTTGCATCAGAAGGCTTGGATGGGGCATCAGATTCCACCTTTCTAACTGATCCTTACAAGCAAGATTTAAGGAAAGCATTTTCATGTTTATTTTTTCTACTATCAGGATCTTCCCACGCCGTTTTATAACTCTGGCCTCTTGGAACTTGGGACGTCATACAATTCAATGATTAAAACAGCCTTAAATGTCAGGCAGACTTAGGTTAACCTTGAAACTCTAAATTTGGTGGACAAGTTACTTAACTTCTCTAAGTTACTATGTCTGAGAAATGCAAACAATGAAATTTCCAGCTACACAATATGTGTGAGGCATAAATGAGCAAAATATACTGTATGTAAAATAATTAGGGTGTTGGTAGTCATAGTAGTACTATTATTATTAAATGATTAATAATAGTAGCAGGAGTCACGATGCTGGTAGAGATGCGGGAGATGGTCGTGATATTGATTACTGTGATGTAAAGAACATAAAACAAGCTTATTTTGCCAAATCTTGGGACGCTTTATTGACTTCATGATACTTGCCAGTATCTGTGAACATTCTACTCAATGTCTCAGTCCAGGTCAGATAAAATTATTTTATAACATTTGATATATAGGTTGACAGCTGTCCCATATTCACCAATACGTTTCAAAATTCTCTCTCCTTTTTCTCTCCTGCAGTCACAGAAACAATCATGACTACTTAATAAAATGTTAATGGGGTATTTGGACTTTTATTGAATTTTCCCTTAAGAAAAGCTAAACAGACCAACTCTGAAGATGTATAAAATGTAAAAAATGTGATGGAAGTAGTTTTCTTCAGAATTCTTTAGTTAAATTTGAAGCAAAAGGGAAAAATCATAACAATTAGAAAATTCCCCAGTGTCAGGTAAAATATGTTATTACATTTTACTGCCAAATATCAAGTATACAGAGTGTGTATAAAATAGAAAATACCAGGCATTTGCCTTGGATAGATGTGACTCAAAGATCACCCTGTGATAACAAAGACTTTTTTTTGAACGTTCAAACAGGAAGGGCTGTTGAGATAACCTAAATATCTGGGAATTTATATTTTTATGTCAACAACTCTATCAAAAGCCTGGCTGTGACAATGGCGGGGGGGAAATACTTCATTATTAGCGGGCAGGACATTTGATTGTGAATAAATCTCAAAACACAAGATAAAGGACTCTTAGTAGACCAGGTAACTTTTCTAATTTTTGCTAAAAATAGTGACACCATGTTGCCAATGCATAACCCAATCTGCAATGATAGAGAAAATATATATTTTTTTGCCTAAGGATTAAAATCAATAAAATTACAGTGAAATTTGAAAAAGGCATATCATGGAGCTCTCCAACCACTCCTGTAACTAATGGACATAGCTCTTTAGTAGGTAACATTTTTCTCTCTTAGCCCCATTTCTGACTATCAGAGGATAAACTGCAGAAACCCAAAAAGGAAAGAACAGGAAAGATCATGAAACATACTACACTTTTTCTTTACTTTTTTTTTTTTTTTTTTTTTTTTGAGACGAAGTCTCACTCTGTCACCCAGGCTGGAGTTCAGTGGCATAATCTCAGCTCACTGCAACCTCCACCCCCGGGGTTCAAGTGACTCTCCTGCTTCAGCCTCCCCAGTAAGTGGGATTACAGGCACCTGCCACCGTGCCAGGCTAATTTTTGTATTTTTAGTAGACATGGGGTTTCACCACCTTGGCCAGGCTGGTCTCGAACTCCTGAACTCGTGATCTACCCACCTCATCCTCCCAAAGTGGTGGAATTACAGGTGCCCGCCACCATGCCCGGTTGATACTACACTTTTAAATTACACAGAATGTGCCCGATGTTCTTCTGAAACATGAAGATAAATGTATGTCATTAATAGGCTCATATAAATGGTTAATGCCTTTAATGTGTCTTCCTAATTTCACATTTTCAAGATAGCTAGGCTTCCAATTTTTGCAAAACATCTGAACTTTCTTAGTGAGGGGCTTGTTTTAATAAGAGAAAGCTAACAAAAATTCTTCAAATAGCTGCCTCCCACCAGACCTCTTGTTACCTACAAAAAATGTAAAACCTTACAGGTACCCACTTGGCCTTTTCTGACACAAAATCAAGTTTAGTAATTTCAGCTTGAAAACATAGAAAGGTTAAAATATAAAGCCCAGAAAATTCCTTGGGACATTTAACTTCAGTTTAGGACTTAAATATATGGCTTCAGGGATCCTTGTAAGAAAAGGCAGAATGGCTTAGTGGACCAAAGTATGTGAATTGGAATCAGATTCCCGTGAAAGCCAACCTTGAACCTGCCACCTTGCAAAATCCTTTTAATAATTCTGTCCTTAGAATCTTCAGTTACTAAGTAGGGTGCACTACCTTACACAGGAGCCAGGATGAAAATTTATAACTTATAAAACTGAAGTCACAGTGTCATTAAGCAGATCCTGACTCTATTACAACATATTCTGGGCTTAGATTGAGAAATGAGAGGAATTGGATTCAACATTTTTTAGTATATGATGTACTCATTCCAGCGCATAAATTGAATCTACCAACTACACCTTCATACACAAAGCAAAACCGCATATTGCCAGTTAGTCATCTTGATAAAAATTGAAAATAAATGTCCTTGCAAATTTTAATATTCTCATTCAAAATGTTCTCCTCTAAAATTAGAATCAGTTCCCATTGCTTTCATTTTCACATTTATAGCTTATTTTGTAAATGGATAACTCTGAGCAATTTATAATAAGGTTACATTAATTTACTACAATAAATTTAGAATTCTTAAATTTTACGTATTATTGGCTTTATATGATGTAACACATGGCATAGATGCATTATCATATGCTGTTTTGTGATATTTAAACAAAGAAGCAAAGTTTATTTCAGTTGTTCATCCATTCAATCTATTTATTTGTTCAACAAATAATAATTAAATGCAATAGTCCCACTTTAGCCATGGTTTCAGTTATTCAGAGTCAACTGTGCTCTGAAAGTAGGTGAACACAGTACAATAAGATATTTTGAGAGAGAGAGAGAGAGAGGAAGCAAGCACATTCATATAACTTTTATTACAATATATTGTTATAATTATAGTTTTAAGTTTTTGTTGTTTATTTTTTGCTGAACCTAATTTATAAATTAAACTTTATTGTATTTATGTATATATAAGATAAATCATAGTATATATATGGTATGGTACTATCCATAGTTTCAAGCATCTACTGGGGTCTTGAATATATGACATGCAGAAAAGGAGGGCCGCTGTACCTAATATTTACTAGGCTCTATGACAAATGCTAGGTATACAATGCTAAAAAAAAAATACACTCAAGCTGTGTTCTTGTGAAACTTACACTTTAGTGGGAAAGACAAAACTAAAATAAATAAATGAATAAATATATAAATGCACAAATAAGAGCACAAATAAAAATAACTTGAAAAATCACCTATAGGAATTAAGCAACGTTTTGTAAGTTTAAACTAGAGAATTGGATCATGCGTCTTAGGCGCAAAATTTAAGCTGAGATCTGGCCTTTAATTAGAAGTCAGGCAGGTAAAGAACATTCCAGAGAGCTCCTAGCATGTGTGAATGCCTGGAATAGGCAGTCCATTTGTAAGTTCAAGGAACTGCAAGAGGGACAATGTTACTGTAGAAGTGAGTTAGGGAGAGAAGGTTTGGAAATAAAGTTAGGGTGGTATTCAAATCTGTATGCTACAAAAACCCAATTGAACAGTATGGAAGTTGGTTATTAATAAAGTGATAATATGACTAAATGTACAATTGGAAAGTACCATTTTGAAATTTGTGAATAATAGCTTATTTGAAGACAAGAATAAAACAAGGAAACCAAAGAGAAGTCTAGAAAAAAAAATATAGCGTCTTGAGTTAGAGTGATGCCAGTAGAAATGCAAACAACCGTACCTAGTCAAGAAATGTTGGGTGCATAAAATTGTCAAAAATATGTAATACATTAGATATTTTAAAATGAGATCAGGAAGTAAGAAGAATAATTCAAAAATATCTATTTTGAGTATCTGTATTATGAAGGTGACATTTACCTTCTGACATTCACTTTAATATTGAAACGGAAGACTTCCCTTGACCCCTTTGCAAGACTTGCAACAGGGGTAGCTCCTTTATTCAACCCCTTATGAGAAGGAGCACACAAGTGGACAGGAGCAGGGACCAGAGTGAACGAAAGCTGGAACCACCGGCCTCTTCTCTCCGGCAAAAGCAGGCATTTTGTGGGCCCCACAGTAGCATCCCAGCATATTACAATGCTCTTTTAGCTCTGCCATGCAGGAGGGTGTATCTGTGACCCCTGGAGCCCCAGAGAGTGTGTTACAAGCTCAGTGGGCCTTTTGTCTCGTCATGTGGGGTGGCTGCCCTTTGCCAACGAGGGCAAATGGACAATGTGATAGCCTTTTTGGGTTGCTGCATATTGCATGTCTCAAATTTTGTCCAATGCCCAAGACGAATGAGGTTACACAGACTTGGGACATGGTGAATGCAGAGATTTTATTGAGTGAAGGAAGTGGTTCATAGTGGGATGGGGAGCTGGAAAGGGGGCTGAGACAGAAGGTGGTCTTCCCCTGGAGTTTGGCTGTCCCAGGCCAAACTGCTCCCTAACCATACTTAGCAAAACTCCTCTCCAACCATAGTTTCTAATATCCAGCTGCTTCTTCTCCTCTAGATGTTGAGACACTTCTCTCTTCTGTGTGTGTATGTCGCCTGAGTCTGTGGTCTGGGGTTCTTATGGGCACAGGATACAGGGCATGGCAGGCTAAAAGGTGATATTCAGGTGGGAAAACAGGGATGTGAAGTTCTCATTTAGGGTCGAAGCTTGAAGGTGGAACCCTCACCAGTGAACCCTCCCTTTTCTACCTGGTATTTCCCTGCCTCCTGTTCGTATCATTTCCCCCCTCTGAGGGGGAAATAAATTAGAATATGGACGATGACCAATCTTAGCAATTTCTTGCTGACAGGGGCATTGTTTTGGGGAAACAGAAGTCAGATTCCTCCCAGAGGTCTACCCAAGGGTCTCTGGCAAAAGGGAGCCATCATCCAAGGCTCTGGTTGCCTGACCATTTGGAGTTTGATGGCCTCTAGGCAAGAGAGAGGAAAAAAATATATATATGTTTTGTTTTGTTTTGAGATGCAGTCTCACACTGTCCCCCAGGCTGGAGTGCAGTGGCACAATCTCGGCTCATTGCAACCTCGCCTTCCCAGGTTCAAGCAATTCTCCTACCTAAGCCTCCCGAGTAGCTAGGATTTCAGGCACCCACCACCACACCCAGCTAATTTTTGTATTTTTAGTAGAGACGCGGTTTTGTCATGTTGGCCAGGGTGGTCTCAAACTCCTGACCTCAGGTAATCTGCCCTTCTCAGTCTCCCAAAGTGCTGGGATTACAGGCATGAACCACCATGCTCGGCCAAAAACAAACAAGTTTTATAAGGTTAAGTATAGATGGGTTAAACATGTGTATTATACAGAGAAAGAATCTAGTGCCAATGATTGCAGAAATAAGAAGTAAAATATACTAACAACATTGTACCCTGAGTAGAAGAGAGATAACTGTTCTTTCCACATCTGTAGCAGTTAACAGGGTACCTTGGGAATTCTGGGGTTTGTGGGTTTGCATAGAGGCTATTAAAGCTTCTGCCTCTTTCTTGTATCTCTTTATTTCTATTGTAAAACACTGAGGTGTCCACTTTCAGGAAGTCCTCTAAAGTACTACCTGGTCCCAGGGTCCATTTCTACAACTTCCTCCTTATATCAGAGGCTCCCTGAGTAATAAATTTATCCTGTAGGATTAGTTGTCCCTCAAAGGAATCAGGAGATAGAGTGGTGTGCTTTACCAAGGCCTCTCTTAGCCTCTCCTAGAAGGCAGTGATATTTTCCTTAAATCTCTGGTCTATCATGGATAGCTTGGTATAGTTGAGAGGCTTAGTTTTAATCCTATGCACACCTGAAAATGTCTCCTCTTCCATTCTCCCATCTCATCATCGGGATCCCATTTAGGGTCATCCACTGGTACTGCTTTTCTTCCAGTTGGATAAAGTTCAGTCTTTTTCCTGACACCATATTTGATACAAAGCTCGTCCCCAAATCTCTCTGCCACTTGTAGAGAAGACTGCTTTTCAGTGTTCATCAGGGTCTGATTAAAAAGTAACATGTCTTTCCAAGAGATTTCAGATACTTGGGCTTAACTCTGGAAAGCCTCTATATATCTGTCAGTGTCATCTGAAAACTTCCCAAGATCCCCCTTAATTTGCTTTCAGTCCTGTAGAGAGAAGGAGACCTGGACGTTACTGGGGCCAAATTTACCAGGCATTTGTTGGAGGGGTAAGACTGAGACTGGGGCTTGTCCAGGGTGATGATTTCTAGGAGGTGCCAATCGAGAGAGAGAATCTGGATAGGGAGGATGAGCTTCTGCATCTGTACTCACCCTTAGGAGCAGGTAGAGAGGCAGCTGGCTCCCCTGCTGGGGGTGCCTCTGGGATTCAATTCTTTAGTCCCCCTGGGACTGCCCCTTGCAGCCTCTCCTGAGATGGCAAACAGGAGACCTGGATCAATTCTACACTGTCAGTGAAGGTCTGGATTGCCCTGCAAGGTAAAGAAAGCCTGCAAATATGGGGCCTCAGACCATTTGTCCTCATGTTTACAGAAAAGGTCCAACTGCCAGATAGTATCAAAATGAATTGTTCCTTCCTGAAGCCAAGCCAATCTTTTATAATTTGGCCAAACCTTTGTGCAGAGGGCTACAAAGCTTTGTTCCTTTAGAGTCTGAGGATCAAAGCAGTCCCAGTGACTTCAGGCTGCACTCCAGAGGAGTATAAACTGATGATGGTGGAGATCGCTGGTTGCTCATTCTGAAAGATGGGGAATAGGCGTCCCTCATTCTCTTCCTTCTTTCAGTGATAACCTGGGGTATGAGGGAGAGAGAAAGTGGGTGTCCCCTTTCTCTTCTGTCTTTTATCCCTGAGTCCCAGCCACCCCGGCAGGTGCCACCCATGGGTGTCAATGTGGATTGCACCCATGAATCAGGGAGGGCCTAGAGAATAGGAATTATCCACACTCACCTATGCTTCCATCCCCCATACTACTGACAACATTTGAGTTCCCCTGGCCTCATCTATGCCGTGGAGAATGGCCCCTGCCAGGAAGTGGGGGCTTAATTGGCAGGAATCAGTCTTGCCCATTTACACCGTGCCTGTTGCCGGGCTTTGGGTCCCTCAGATCTGGTTTTCCTTTCTAGGGCTGCAATGTGAAGTTTAGAATTGAGTTTGGGACAAAAAATTGTCTCGGGGGTTCATGAATTCATTTAGATTAAGTTCCAGATGCGCCCTGCCAAATTTGCAGTTATCAGCCAGAAGGGGGGCTCCTCCATTATTTTCCTTATTATAAGCAGAACGCTGAGGAAAAGAATTATCTCCCTTAGGGAAAAAAAAAAAAAAAACTTAAAGTACGAAAGGATGGGAGATGGGGGAGAGTCTCTTGCTCTGTGCAATTGGGTTTCTTCAATTACTGTATTCCTTCCCTGGTTTAGACAAGTAAGGATCCTTCAACCATGGGAAAAAAGGCTCTGTGGTCACAGGTTCATGGCAGGAGGGGACGGCAAGCAGAAGATGCCAGACATCTTGCTGTGCAGGGCCTTGGCAGCAGCTGTGGTTCTCTCCCACCCCTCGTGGCCACTGGGTGTGGCTCATGCACGCTGTGGACATGCCCAAGTACCCAAGCCAGGAGGGGAGTGGGAAATGGGGAGAGCTGTAGTGCATCACGTGCCTACAGCTGTTGGGGTGGGGGTGGGAATGGCTCCTCTAAGAACAAAGGGAAACCACATTGTTCTGAACTGCACCTCTGATGGGTGGGCCAAACGTAGATTCTGCCTAGTATCATTGCCACAGTCTGTAGCAAAACCCTTAACATTATAAAGGAAGAGATAGGAGCCATTTCTAACTGTGAAACAAGGAAGGAAAGATACCACAGGAAAATCTGGGCATCTTGGCTGATGCCTTCAGTGGCCCAGGACCTTGTCCTCACCTCACACAACAGCTAAACCTCTGTGAAGGGAAACAGAGCCAACATTTCTTTCACCCAAAAGAAAGAGAGAGGTGGCAGGGTCTTGGAAAAGAGACAGTTCTGCATCTGAACTCACCCTTGTGACAGATCTGGGCAAGTCCCCAGATGAAACAAGAGAATTCCTTGACCCCTTCGCAGGACTTGCAACAGAGGTGGCTCATTTACTCGGCTACCACTCTTTACCCTTTATGGGACAGAGCACATGAGCAGACAGGAGTGGGAACTGGAGTGAATAAACACTGGAACTGCTGGCCACTTCTTTCTGGTGAGAGCAGGCCTTGTACAGGCCATGTGGCAGCATCCAAGTGTGTTACAATGCTCTTTTAGATCTGCCATCCAGGAGGGGGTGCCTGTGATCCCCAAAGCTCCAGAGGGCATGTTACCAGCTCAGTGAGCCTTTTGCCTCATCACATGGGGTGGCTGCCTTCCACCAGCAATGGCAAAAGGCCAGTGTGACAGCCTTTTTGGGTTCCTGCACCCAGTGCATCCTGAATTCTTGTCCAGTGCCCAAGAGGAATGAGGTCACACAGACTTGAAAGATGTTGAATGGGGAGATTTTATTGAGTGGTGGAACTGGCTCCTAGTGGGATGGGGAGGTGGAAAGGGGATAGAGTGGGAAGGTGGTCTTCCTCTAGAGTTCAGCTGTCCCAGACCAAACTCCTCCCCAACCATCCCTGGCCAAACTCCTCCCTGACTGTAGTCTTCAATGTCCAGCTCCTTCTACTCCTTGCAACATTCAGACAGTTCTCTCTTCTGTGTGTATGTGTCCCCTGAATCTGGGGCCTGAGGTTCCTATGGGCACAGGGTAGGGGGTGTGGTGGGCCAAAAGGCAACATTAGAGTTGGAAAGTAGACATGTAAAGTTTTCATTTCATGCAGCAGGTCAAGGCTTGAGGGTGCAACCCTCGCCAGGGACCTCACCGTTTTTTACCTAGTATTTCCCTGCCTCCTGACCATAAAACAAAGCAAAAAGTAACAAGCAAAATCTGTCAAAAAAAGAAAAAGCAATAATTTAGTTAAACTTTTGAGGTAGAAATCACTGAGAAGCATTTAGTGAATATGTCAAATGTTTTCGTGAATACATAAATTTGCAATTCATTAGCAGGTTTATGGCTGAAGAGTAAATGCAGGGTCATTTAAATCCCTTAGTCATGAAGGACTGATGAGGGAGCAGGTTTCCTGTAACAATGTGAGTATAAACCAGACTGAAGTAAATTTTAGAGTGAAAGGGAACAGAATAAGTGAAAATTATAATTCTAAATGGCTTTTTAGAGAAACTTACATGAATAAAAACAGAAAGGGTTTTTATATTTTAGATGTGATCTTTGTCAAAGAGGTTTTTTATTTGATTTATTTTATTTTTTAATAAGGGGGAATCCTAGGGCATATCTGAATGCTGTAATCATTCAGTTGGAAGAGAAAAATCTAAAGCACAGAGGAGGAAAGTAAGTATCAAATGAAACAAGTTAAGAAAAAAGGGAACAAGATTTTGAACAGTGAGGAAGAACTAGCTCCAGGGGCAAACAGAGCATCATATGGGAAAAGTCTTCTCAGATGCTAGATTATCTCTTTCTTTGTAATTAGGCATTTTAATTATTATTTTTAGAAGAGAGAGGGAGTGGTAATCTTTAATAAATAACCAAATCCAATTGTAAAATAATCTTTCCTTTAATTACTCTATTTCTGAAGAGCTATACAGAATAGCCATGGTAAACATTCCTGCTGCAGTTTTACAACAGTTTGTGATGGCCTGTCATTTAAACTTTGGGAAAAACAGATCAGTATTGACAGTATTGAGCTTCTATTTGAGTATGTATTTGCACAGATACACACAAGGCCCTATGTATGGAGTCACCCCAAAAGCCACAGAATTGCAATCATCCTATTTCCCTTATTATATGTCTGTTAGTAACAATTTTTTGCATAAAAACTGCTGAAGGTGATAGAAGAAAATTTAAATGTATGAAAGGAAAAGAGAGGAACACACAGCTTCTAACCAATGTGCATAGATAGTCTGTGCCTTTTTCGTAGAGGAGGGCTTCAGGCAAAACCATTTCAGTTCACTGTTTTCTCCTGAGCCTTATGTTTCTCATCTTTTGGTATTTTTGGAAAGTAGATTGGTCTAGGTAGATGTTAACACAAATGAATTATCAAGGTAAAGTGAATGGACATTTGTATGGTAGATCACGTCTATCATCTCATGGTAATATAATTTTTGTTTAAGTAAATGTACACAGGGGCTACAAATGAACCACTCTTTCAACAACAACCACTAAAATAACAATGGTAACTGACAAACTGGTTTCAGAGTGAATAATTTCACCAGTGTGTTTTATAGAGTATAGAGAGAAAAAGCATAAAAATTCAAACTTCTAACAGTTAAGCAAAGTGGAATAAACACACGATGAAGAGGTGATCATAGTTGGTTGAATTCAGATTATTTTGACCTAACAAAAGTTATATTATCTCTCTAGTGTGGGGCAAAATTATCTTTGGGATCTTGTCAACCTAGGATTTTATTAATTAGCATAGGTATTTGCAGACTTTACAAAGAGAATAATTTATAAAATCGAATTTTTAGCTTTATATAATGAAAATTTTCACATTTGCTATTATAACCTCAAATTAAATATGACCAAATGAATTTGGTTTTAAAATTGAATTTGATGCAATTCTATTTCTATAATATGTTACAATTATACATATATCAGCAGAAGGAAATAGTCCTAATGATGCTTACAAATAAGTATAAAAGTATTGTGATATTGAAATAATCACTTGAATATTTTAGGTGCTGAAAGAAAAGTTTACTGAATAACATAATTGATCTTAATGGCTAAATATTTTAATATCTCCAACACTGCAAGATCATGCTGGTCACAAATGCCAAACCAAAGTGATTCAAAGAAACAACATGATATCCTTTCTTTGATCACAGATAGAAAAATTAAATCACAAAATTTGTTTGTGTTCTTCCCTCTAAGAATACCACAGAGTTTTAATTAGGCTTACTATTTTGTAAGTCTTAAAGTCAAGTAAACTGATTCCTCCCACTTTATTTTTCTTTTTCATAATTCTTCAGCTATTCTAGGTCCTGTGCCCTTCTATGTAAATGTCACAACAAGCTTGTCTATTAAAATTTAAATCAAAAATTTTTATTTAAGTCTACTAAAATCCATGGTACAATCTTGATAGAAACTGCATGAAACCAGTTTCAATATCAGTTTTGGAAGAATGGACATTTTTACATTGTTGAATCTTCCAGTTCATGAACATGGCATGTCTCTCCACTTATTTAGAGAGCAAAGCTTAGTATACTTACAGTAAAGTTAAAAATGAGCAAAATTTTGCTTATTATCAACTGAGTAAAATTGTGCAGGGTTTATTTCACCAAATTGAAATTTTTGTGACATTAGATAGACTTGCATTCATTTATTTTGACTTTTCCAAATTATTTTATCTTCTATTGCTCAAACCAGATGGAATAATAGACAAATAAGCTGATCACAATGTCCGTGTGTAAAATCTTTTTGGGAGTATTAAGCATTTTAAATAGTATGGAGTTTATCCTGAAAAGAGAAAAATAGTTGCTTATTGTCATATTCAGGTTAGGACAAACTAGAGAAGTTGCCCCATGGTGACCAGGCGTTTGGAGTGGAAGAGAAAGGAAGTAGGTGAAGAAAGGAGAGATAGATAGTACACAATCACCTCAATAGGCAGACTACTTACTTCACAAAACTCCAGGGCTTGTGATTTGTCTTCAGCATTATTGGTCTCCTTTTTACCCCAGCTATTTCACTAAGTTATGTGGAGTTAACCACAAAATGTGTGTCCTGAGGGTGTGGTAGGGCAGAGTGAGAATAGATAAGTGACTCAAAGCAATTCCTATGGGGCTGCGAGCCTCTTTAAATATGGTCTGGTCACAAGTTCACCAAAATGGGCCAGGGTTCTGAAACCATGTGTTCCAATCTTGTTCCTCAATGTACCTTCTGATTATGGAGAAAGATAATTCTCAATTAAGCTATGCATTAGATTCATCCCTGATATGATATACAGATTTGCCAGCATTCATCCTCACCTCTCTAGGAAATGGAATGAAAAGCTCTTGACTATATATGCCACTTTAAACTCCACTGGTGATTCTGAGTCAGAGCCAGGGTGCAGAGCACTAATGTGAGGACTGAGGTAGGAAATGCCAGTTATTAAAGCCTGCTGATGCAGACGGTTTATGGAAAAGCCACTGTAACTACCTACTAATCTCCACCTTTTCTATTAGCTTAAGTTATATTTTCAAGGGTATTTGTGTTTGGGACTGAACGGTTTTTCTGGCCACAGGCAGAAACCAGTGGTCTCGTGGCCTTGTGATTTAGAAAGCAGTAGGAGAAGTAAACATTGTTAAGAGACGACAAAGGGGAATTTTGTTTTCGCAGAAAACTGCAAACCTTTCTGTAGAGTTAAGCTGTATACTACATATAAGCAATTAGTGAAAACAACATTGATATGACAACCTTGCAGAAATGATCATGAGCCTCCCATGCTAAACAATGCTACAATATTCTGAAAATTTATAGGCAAATTATGTAGAGTTAAGGTGCACAATCAAATACAGTCAATTAATGTTATCACTGTAAATCAAGATTACAGTTTTCCATGCAAATAACAGTTAATAATAAGCATAAATAACAGCACAAGTGACTCAATTTAGCAAATCACACAGGCTGCTGTGCATGGTCAGTGTACTGAACTGTTGAAGGAAAAATGAGCCAATTTAGTACTGGCAGAAAGATTGCTCAAATGCTAATTCAATATTAAACAGACATCAAAATAGCTGATAGAACCGAAAGCAAACCACAGGCAAGGAAATTACAGACAAGCAGCAAACAAACACAAAAGTACTGGAAAGACAAGTTTTAGAAATTTGAAATTAATAGCCAAAGAAACCTCAAAATCCCCTAAAAAATGTAGCCTGTTCAATAGTGGTTGTGAGACAGAATGCAACACAGAAAGTAGAGGTTACATGCTACAGTGATAAGTCACATTGACTATGTTTGCGCACTGCCACCAAAACTTACCAGATATCACTTAGCCTTTTATCTGTAAAAATTGAAAAATATATTAATTTTACCCCATAAAGTTGTCATGACAGCAATTCAAGTTTGTGCACTTAGCATGGAACACCGTATATCATAAACACTAAATAGATTTTAGATATTTTTAAAATATATAAAAATTAAACTCTCATGACTTGGCTGCGACAGTTAAGTTGATAGCTCATCATGTTACCCAAGACATGTTTTGTTGTTCACATTTTTGCTTAAGGGAATAATTCCACTTTCAGTTGTAGAAAAGTCACTCTTATAACAAAACGTAGTGGAATTTACCTTTTGTATTACCCCAGGAAGGCTAGAACTAAAGCACACAGCACACAGACCAGGAAGCCCGCTTCTCAAACATACAGACTGACAGCCAGTGTCCTAACAGTGGCCTATAACATTTTTCGTGATAGGGACCTGCTCACTATAATCTAACCTAAGCTCTTCCTTCCTCACACTTAACCCACATCTCCAGTCACATTGGCTTCATGGGAGCTCCACAAATATGCCAAGTAAGCTCCACCCTCAGGGATTTGAATACTCTGCCCCCTTTGCCTAGAACATCTTTCCCCATTATCACTGCTCTTTCTCCTCACTTCCTTCCGGTTTCTCCACAAATATCACTTTATCAGAAAAGGCTCCTTCTTAACAGCCCTACACATTTCTATATGATATAAATTTCAACATCCTTTCATCTATCCTACTTGATTGCTCTCCATGTCACTAATACATTAAAATTCAACTATTTGTTAATGTTCCATTTAGTCCAGTAGAATATAAATAACCCTGTAAGCTTGGTTGTCTGTTTTTATCACTACTTTATGTAGCAGCAAGAACAGAGCCTGCACAAATTAGGCACTCAATAAATATCTCTTGAGTTTATAAAAATATGAAATATGATCTATCCTTGCAAGGTTTTTAGAAAAGTATCTGGCATATCATCAGCACTCAATATGTGTAAATTATTGCTTTACTATTATTATTAATAAATACTGCTCCTTGAAAAAATTTATGACAATCATGATTATTGCACTTATTGAGGACATACTATGTTTTAGAAAATGTACTCAATTTGTTATAGATATTACCTCATTTAATTCATTAAATAATTATAGGAGGCAGGCATAATTAATGTCATGATTATTCAAGTGAGAAAACAGAGACATTCGGAGCTAAAATTAGTTCAAACACAAATATTTTATAAAGTATAGAATCTGAATTCTAACCCAGGATATTTGACTTCAGATTCCATCTTTAACATGCAACATTATTTTCTTCACATTTTTTACCTAGGCAAATTACAATAAGTACTTTGAAAAACAATATTAAAAGCTCAAGAAAACCAAGTGTAACTAACAAAAACTCAATATAGAGTGGTAAAAAAAAATGTATAAGCTAAATTGCTGTTACTGAGGACCCCCATAATACAATGATGTAAATAAGATAGATATTTATTTCTTTCTCCTCTGACACTTTGGCTGGGTGAATTTCAGCAGGCTCTTCTTTTTCCTATGCTCATTCAGAACACAGGTTTGTCCCACTTTGTTCCTCTGCCCTTTCCTAGAATGTGTTCTTCATCTGCATAGTCTAAGTTGTATCACAGCTATGAGCCTATACAGAGAAAGCACATTCAGAGCACTCCCCTCTACAAGCCCATCTGGATTATTCTCACTATGCATAAAGGAGAGATTGTGTCTTGATGAACAACTAAGCATATTGCAAAAGGACCAAAAAATACCAGAAGAAATAGAGTTTGACTAATTATTTTGCAGATATGCCTTTTGAGAAAAAGTGTTAAACAAGTTCATTTAAACCAATGGGTTCTTCAGCAATGTGGGAAATTTTTCTACCAACACTGTTGAAAACTGGAAGGAAAGGTTTATTTAAAAACAACCATGCATCACAAAGATCCTCAGGCCATGACTATTGAGCAAGCAGTGCTTAGGGTTTTGTTTTGTTTTTTACTTTTATTTTAAGTTCAGGGGTACATGTGCGGGTTTGTTACATAGGTAAACTTGTGTCATGGGGGTTTGTTGTACAGATTATTTCATCATCTAGGTATTAAGCCTAGTACTCATTAGTTATTTTTCCTTATACTCTCCCTCCTCCAATCCTTCACCCTCGGATAGGCCGAAGTGTGTGTTGTTCTCCCTTACGTCTCTGTGTGTTCTCATCATTTAGCTCCTGCTTATAAGTGAGAACATGTGGTATTTGGTTTTCTGTTCTGATGGAGCTGGAGCCCATTACTCTTAGTGCTTAGGGTTTTAAAGGTGCAGAAAGAAATGCAGAATTTTACCAGGTACCATGCCATGCAACAGTACTTTTAAGTTGTATAGGAATAAGAAACTTGCAGTTGGTAAATCTGAATTGTTCTTTTCAGTTTAATTTGTGCTCAGACATGGTGACAGATGGTCTTATTTTTGTTCACTCCATGGTGGTTAGAGTGACTCCTTGTCTAATGTTGGTATTCTGTGAAATTGTTTATTTTTTATAGGAGAACACCACAATCTAAGTGTTAAAGTAAGGCCAATTCCCTGTGAAGTAGTCAGAAGGGTTTCTAATCCTCAGGGTTGCCAAATAAAATACAAGATGAAATATAGAAATACAAGATGAATTTCAGATAAACAGTGAGTAACTTTTATAGTATATGGTTGTCCCATGCTAAATTTGGGACATACTTTACTTATACTTAAAAAAAATCCATTATCTATCTGAAATTCAATTAACTGAGTGTCTTATATATATTTGCTAAACCTAATAACTGTTTCTCCCAATCCCCTTTTCAGATTAAGTTTAGAATTAAGGGGACTAAATTTAGCCCTGCACCATCTTACCCTACCCTCAACCCTGAGAGTGTTATTGGAGTTTATAGCAGATCTGGAACTTACTTGTTAATTGGTCCCTTTAGCCCAGTCCTTTACAGATCCTCTAACTATAATTGAACAGTTATTCCAATGGAGACACTTTGTTAGTTGGCTATGAATAACTTTCTTATATTTGGAAATAAGTTCATTTCAGACCTATCTCTGAGGATGATTTAGCATCATCACCTGCCTCCATTGCCCCCATGCCACCCTCCCCACCAACGCAACCACACACAGCTAGAGAAATGAATGTGATGACAAGACTGAAGTATGGTGGCATGGAAAACTATCATACGTATATCATGGTTTATGTTCATTCATAAGAAGTTGGGTACATCTGTTTTTAAAAAGTTGAATAAAATTTAAAATACACAAGGGTTTAGATTTCATTTTTAAATAGAAACAGTATTAAAAGTTTTAAAAATTTACTATTTTATGGTAATAAATATCACTCAACCATTAATTGGACTTTTGTATAATAAATTTGATGAAAAAAACCCATTTTAAGAGAAAAATGAAATATATAAACCTGAAGTCTTCATAGTATTTCAATGCTTTTAAAAAGCATAATGGTTCTGAATGTTCCAGCTCAGGCTCTCATGCTAGGGTCCATATGCCCCTAACACTGAAACAGCAGTGTTCTGGCACATGCTTTATAATTTCCACCAACCATTGAGGACAGTCCAAAGAGTAAATTGGATGAATGATTAATGCTGATGCTAATCTGAACATAGCAATGCAATGGTTGTATTCTCAAAGCTGTTTCACTCTTGACGCCTTATGTGGCTGGCACAGAGGAGCTGTATCACTCATGAGGAGTCTGTTGCCTTGCATGAGACAGAGGTGAGGAAGCCTCTGCTAGGGTTGGAAGACTCTATGTTCTGAAATTCATTAACTGCCCCAAAAGCCCAATTATTAAGGACATTCTGCAGGACTCTTCCTGCATGAAATTAGAAGGAAAGCAGCCTACCTACTTAGTGATCTTTGGAATGGGAATGAACTGATATACTACTTAGAGTTCTGCCAAAAAGCATGGAACCCTTTGTAGGTCAGACTACTTGCTCTGACTCATACCTTACAAGTTACAGCAGAATAAAAGCTTCTCAAAAACACTTGAAATCTGGGAATATATTTTTTCCTAAATAATATTTCCCTTAAAAGTTCTCAAGAGTTAAATCTCCAAGCGGGGAGAAATCTGTACAAATCATATATACATTGGATATTCTATATATGTGTTATATTAAATAAAAACGTTGATTCTTTTTTATATACCCTCAATTTTAACTGAAGGAATTGATTTTTAAAAGTTTTATTAATAATAACAATTGATTTCACATCTACAACTACCATTTAAAAGTTATGCAAATTTTTGTCTTTGAAAATGAACAATAGCAATAATATATAGTGCTTATAAATATTATATATAATACAACAATGTAATATATTATATTAATACACTATATAGCTTATTGTGTAGCTGTATTATTCTAAGCTCTTTGGGTGCTATAAGTAAATACTGTACTGCTGTAGGATATTGATGTAATTTATTATATAAATTAGAATAACTACAATTACAAATGTGCAAAAAATTGCACTTAAAAGGATGTGTTATTAAATCATCTGTCTCAGAGATTTATGTATTTTGTGTTACCATAATAAAATCACTTAGTGTGAAGTTAATTTTCTAATATTACCATCCTTTATATATATCCGGTTCTAAACTAAATAGCATTTCTATTATTTAGTATTTCTTATACCTATCTCTTGCTATCCTTTTACGAACTTTTCTGGTGAAGCTTTGGTCAGTCCAAAAATAATAACTCAGTTTTTTTCTTGGTTATTCCTTAAACCAACCTCTATGTTTTCCTTTATAGTCTCATTTTCAATTAATTCTACAAAATAAAATGATCCTTCTTACTCATTATCATGACTGTTGATCATTTTTGGTATCATCTGTTTTAAATGTTTTAGAGCAAGTATAGTCTAGTTTATTTTCTATGCTGCCAAGCACAATATATTATCCTTATATTATTATTTGATAACTTTAAAAAATGCTTAATTTCCACATGTGCTGTATTTTTATATGAATCATTCATCTGTGAGTTTGAAATAAAACAATTTCACTATTTCTTTTGGCCAAGGACATACCTTTGGTTTCCCGTCTATTAATCTTCTATTTAAACACTAACTAGCTGTATTTCTTCTGTGCTTTCAGTTCATATATCCTAGAGATCAAATTTCAGTTTTATATCTGTTAAAAGAATGTTTATGAAAAGTGAGAGCCCTAAAGGGGATAACTTTAGATAACTTTCCCACTGTTCAGTAGATTATGCATATTTAAAATATGATATGATTTTTAAAGCTGCCAAATAATTTAGTTATATAAGAATCTAATGACCATTTGGGAGATATGAAGATATTTCTAGAAATTAACTTAAGGAGAAGATTAACATACATAATTCTTAGACCAAAGCAGGTTCCTTAAGTATGCTGTAGCAAATAGGATTTCACTCTACAATAGTGAAACATTTAAACTATGTGTACCAATTAATAAAAATTATTGGAAAATGTATTGAAAATATCAATAGCCTAAAGTGCAAACAGGATATAACAAGTGGTGGGCAACATTTTTATTTCCTTTGGAAATTTAAAATATCCTTATATATTAATAAAAGTTTATATCACAATTTGCAATTTGGGAGTTATGGACAAAACAGTGCTTCAACTCATTCTAGTAATTATCTTAGAGCTATAATTATGGATTCATTATCAATCTACTCTCTACTGGAATGCTGAGATTTCAGTCCTGATTGGTATTCTAGGTATGATTTCTGGATACTAAAAGACTAGGAAAAACAGACAACATGAGTTGAGCTTCCTTTAAGATTCATGAAATCCTAGAATAACTTTTCAATTAGTTAGCTAAAAGCAGCAAGATCTTTTGGAAAGTGGTTATTGTAAAGAATCATTACTGAATATAACACCAGCTATAATAGGCAGAAAAATGATAGTATACATTCATGAGATAATAAATAAAACAGTTTTTCATCAAAGGCAGGAAAATTTATGACCTTACTACAATTTGTATCCTCAACTCCTATTATTTTTACCAGACACAAAATTGGCTCCAGAAACGTAGCTAATTCTCTCTCTCACCTTAAGATCATCAACAGTAACTTCAGAGTGGAATTAACTATGCTGAATTATAGATTGACAACAGATTTAATAGTGTTTAATTTTACCATAGGCCAGAAAACATCATCTATGCAGACATGGAATTTTCAATATAAAGAAATGTCATCATCATGAATAATTGAAAAGGGATTTACTATGTGATTCATTGATACCAAGAATAAAATCTTTCAAATCTGTTGCTGTTCAAAGTGGTAATATTGCAATTCTATAGGCATTCTCTAAAAACATCCTTAAATACCATGTCAGCAGAGAGATGCAGAAAGCTATAATTTGCAAGTGGTAAAATTGAAACAAAGATATTATAAATTAGTTCTTCTACTTACATGATTAAAAACATTTTTATTTCTTTATTTTCAAGGTAACAGCTAGCACATCTTTCTTTTAGTAGTTTATATTTGTATTTTACATTAAAATGTAAATGCTTAGGATATGGACAAAAGGAAAAATATAAAATTTACTAGTGGAAAATATACATTTAGCTTATTTCTTCTTCTTGAATAATAACTCAATTTTCTGGAAATTTAGTTGGCCATGGTCCAAGAAAATGATTTCACTGCAGAGATATTAGTTGCCAGTATAATCAAGAATATGTCCAAATGTGTCTCTAAAATCAATGAGGTGTCCTGCCAAGTACTGCTGACCATAAAACTTAAAATTATATTGATCTCTTCTCAAATAGAGAGGGTTAATAATGTATTTTTAATAGAAAACAAATGGGTGTGATGAGATCATAAAATTCTGTGCAAACAATAATTTAAGTCCTATTAATCTCTACACTATCATGGCTAAGAACAGTTTTCAAACATCACATAATGAAATGATTACACTAAGGCAAATTTCTGAGTAAAAGAGATGATTAAAACACTGAGAATTTACCAGAACTGCAAGAAGAGACGTGTTGAGTGGGTCAGTAGACATATTTACTGTTATAAAAATCTACATAAATGAGCCTAGACAGAGAAAGCATCTGTGAATTTGTTAAATTTGAAAACTCTGAGGAGAATAATAAATATAGAGCAGGCAGTATGAAAAAAAAGTCAGTGAAGTTGGCACTCTGCTGTGCTAAAAGTAGTCGAATGTACAAAAATGGAACCTTATACAGCTGGCTTAAGTATAAAGAACCAAAATACAGAGCCAAAAAATCTAGTGCATTAAGAGCCCTTATAGAATATTCAATACAAAAATTTAAGTTTCTATTAATATTATGAAATGTATTTGGGGCACATATAGTTAAGAGAAAGAAAAAGGATTTCAGAAAAACACTTTAGAATAGACAAAATGATTTATGTGGAACTAATATCGGTCTGACACTAACCATATATACTATCATTGAACCATGTCTACTGTCTATCCATCTAGTTATCTCTTAAATAGTGTATTAGAGTCAGTTAAAAAGTAGTTGTTACAGGTAACAGAAATAATAATTTTCCTGTTCATTATAGAAAATATACCTCATGACCAATATTAGGGCAATTACGTTTATAATGTCTCCTTAAACCTATAATATATGTGTATTAACGTGTTTAATTATTTAAAAATCATTTATTATTAATTAATATTGAAAAACATTACAAACAATATTTTATTCTGTCTGATAGACAGGTTTGTGTTGAATTAAACATTTTCAAAACTTACGTCCAAACTATTACCATGTTAAATCACTGTCCTAATTTTCTGGTTATCAGCAAACAACTCAAAAGGGATCTACACTCCCTGGATCTATAACTGTCAGAGACTGGCTTCCTGCTATATTGATAGAAGTCCAGGTAGACATGATCAGAGAGTTTTATCTCCTACTTTGACACTATCATAGTGACAAGATGTTCCTCAGAGTACACTTGGACTCAGTAAGTTCTATTACATGATTTCTGTTTCATGGCAAATTTGGGACTAAAATTCATTCACCTAGTCATTCTCTAATTCAAAACTATTTGTCATCTATTATCCAAGGTTGCGTTAGGCACTAGGAGTGCATTGGTTACTAGACAACTCAGGGCCCTGAGCTCATTATCTGGGAATAACTGAAAAATAAATTCTTATTAACTTTTAAATGATGAAATTTAATAAAGCAGTAAATTACAGACACACAGTGAATTTCAGATGCCTCCAAGAAAACAATACATCATATATTGGAGTTTTACAATTATTCCTCTTCTCTTGAGGGTTGATAATACTTTCCAAGCCTAATTTGTATTCTATTTTTAGAATACAACCCTGCTTTATTCTATTTATTTGGTCTTCTTGTTCTTGTCCATCTTCTGAAGTTGGTTAATCACCATTGATACCACAACCTGAGTTAATCATTGTCTCAGAAGACCTCCATCTTCATTCCAATGTGCACTGCACTGCCTGGGGCTTGCCTACTCCCTCAATAAGTGTCCTAGCATGATATTTCCATAATTTTGAGGGCTTGCTACCCACTAATAAAGCCTCATAATTGTGTTTCTGTGCTTTCTGAAGTTCAACTTTGTCTTGTATATGTTCTATGTACCTCATGCACTGTGAAGTATGCCCAGGGAGGCTTCCATTACTATCTTTCTTCTGCACCAAGATGTCGGGCTTTCTCCCCCGTGTCCTCTATTTGCCTCCACTACTTATAGTCTACCATACTTTGCTGTCTGTTCAGGTTCTTTCTTTCTCTATTAATCAATTTTGTCTTTCTGACTTTTTTCATGGAAAGAGAAATTATTTATTTACCTGTTAGTAAGCCCTGCCATTTTTAGATGAAAATCCTTGCTGTCTATCTCCTGCTGAAAGAAAGAAATTGCTCCAAAAAAACTTGAACATCTTTTTTTGGGAAGTACTGTTCATTTCATTTTAAAAGTCCATAACTGAACAATTGTATTGTAAATCTCACCACAAACTATAAATATAGTAACCCACTTAATACAATGACTGGGCCCTGACATAATAGCCTACCTTTCTGTGTGTGCTCCAGTTATTGATGGCCACACAAGTCTCTCTCATTTAGACCTAGTTAGAAAATGTGATTATCATTTCTTTAGAATTAACATTCCTAAAAACAATGTTATCTACATATTGCCCAGACCACCTCATGGCTTCCTTTTCCTCATGACTTTCCTATTTCTAGCATCATCTATTTATATAAGCTAAAGACTTTGAGTCTCTTCTCTTCATCAGTGCTTTTCTATCCGCCAAATCCCAAATTCACTTGGGTTTTTGGCTGTACCTACTCAGGCATTTCTTCTTTATTCTAAATGTAACTGTCCTGGTAGAATCCCTTACAAACTTTAACTGAGAATACTCTCTAAACTGATCTTTCCATTTCCACTCACTTTTATTCTTCCAGTCAAATTATCATACTTTTTTGCTTCATGGCAACTGATTTTAAAAATACCTGCAATATCTCCTGAGTGACTAGAGAATTAATCCAATATTTCAACCTACTCTTATCTTTATTTTTTATATATCTACCGTTCATGAGATAGCCTTTTCTTTTAATATTATTTATGCTTTTCTACCTCTATCACTTCTAATAAAAGGTTGCTTCTGCCTATCGAATGTTTTCACATTCTATCTCAGAGCCATGCCTCTCCCCTAATATTTATGTTCAAATTATACTCATTGTTGAAATCTCAATCAAAATATTACTCCTGTCTATGGTCCTCCTATAAGTCAGAGCCAATCTCTTCTTCTATACTTTGTATCATTGATTCCCGTTACTTGTCTTTCACCTTCATTTTCTTTGCTTTGTCATACCCTTACCTTATAGTTAGTATTATTTCTTTTCCAAATGTATTGTAAAAAATTACTTATTTTTTCTCCTAGAATTTAATTGCATCTTGAGAAAATAAACTGTGTTACCAATTTAATGAAAATAAAATGAGTTGTGGAATCAGACAGCCCTAGTCTGCCTGTGACCTGAGAAATTCTGAGGAATTTGGACAAGGTGTGGACTAGAGCCTTGCAAGTATAAGCAGTCCCAGTGTTAAGATGAGGAATGTAGCTTTATTATCAGAAATAGAATAATCACATGTAACCTGTGTCAATTGAGCAGATAACCTTACAATATCTAAGTGTCTTCCATGAATATAAGCCCAGAAACTGAAGAGGTAGCATGTCATCATCCTGAGGACGCTAAAGCCTCTGCATTGTTTTTGTTTTATGCCTCATCCCGCTCTATTTCTGTGAAGACATCACCTCATCTTGTTAATAACTGGACTATTTGAAGACTTTTTTCAGGCCATAGTCTTTCACCAGCCATTTTCACCTAGAGATCTCTGATTTGGCTGGGAAAAGAGTGTCTATCCAACCAGCCAACCATGGCATCTCTTACTTAGGCATTTCCATAAAGCTCCCTAAATTTGATTAATTATTCCTCCAGAAGATAAGATTAGAAAAAAATATTGAAAGTTGTACATTTGCCTAAGACAACTTTTGTCTTATTTCCTGCAATAGTCTCAGGGGATGCAAATGGGATTACAGGCTGAGGAATGATCATTGTGTATGGCCTCACTTCTCCAGCAGTTACCATATAGAGGATGCACTCAGGTTATGACAACAGCTACTAGCCAATTAACAGTGAGATTCTGCCATGTAGGAGAGAGACAACAGAGAGGATTTTCTAAACTCTTAAGCCCTTTGCTGCACCACACAAAACTCAAGCATATGTAATTTATGGAGTGAGAAGTAAAAGTTATAAGCTTTTGAGCAGAAGCCATGGCACCTAGAAATGATATCTGACTTCCTGGAATAGTTCCTTAATTTAAAATTATGCATAGTTTTTATTGTCATGGCTATGTATCACAAAGTCATATCCACACTCTGGATGACAAGATTACACAATAGGGTGGATACTAGGAGGCAAACTCGTTGGGAGCACCTTTGCACTGTCCACCACAATGTTTGACTTTCAAAACGTAATTCACCTAAAAATATGTAATTGGTTAGAGTTGAAGTTAAGTGTAGAAGCTAGAGCAATAGTATCACTTGTGCAAGTTAACCATATAAGAATAATAAAAGCAATACCAATGGTTCAGTTCAACAAGAAGTATCAGAAAAAGACAGAAGAAAAGATCTCAAGAGATGTTTACAACTAAGGAGGAGAAAGTGGAATTAGTAACAACGACATGGGGAAGAGTGTCCAGAGGGTTTACAAGGAATCTTGGCAGAAGGCAAAGAAGCTTGGATGTAGATAGGCATAAATCCAGAACTCCTCTCTTTTCACCAAGTAAGTAGCTATGTGATTTTGAGCAAGTTATTTATCAGTTCTGAGCCATAATTCTTTTACAAAAATGGTTTAGCTCTATTTGGCTGGCACAAACCTGAGGAAGATTAAATGCCATAAGACATAAAAAATACCTAGCACAGTTAATATGCAAAAACTTCTTGCTATTAGGAAATGAACCAAGATATAGTATTATGAAGGCTATAACCCTTAAATATAAAGTAAGCTTCAAATGTGGTACTAGATTAAGGAGGTATATTTTTCATAACTCTATATCGAGCATCTCCTCATATCTTAAATTGAAAGGCTTAAAACAGAATCAGGTAACTTTAGGCTACCCAAATTCCTAGGCCCACAACATTCTTGCACTAAAAATAAATAAATAAAAAGCAGGTCATAAACAGTTCCTGTGTTTTGAGCTAAATTTATAGCTGAACTAAGTATGTAGCAGATGCTCAGAGCATTCTTGTTTTACTATCACAAATGGCAAGGAAAAAATCCTGCTAGGATAAATTCAAGTACAGCAGTCCAGTTGGTGGATATTTCAAGTCAAGGCCCGCTTGCAGAAGCACAGCTGCACAGCTGCACAGCTGTCTTCCTGACATCATTCCAGAATCTCAAAGTAGCCAAAGAGTAGTCATACCTGCAGTTAAAATCAACTAGGTTGAGTGTGCAAACTCCTGAGGGAGGCTTCAATTACATTAATAGAGCTGAGCTTCAGTATTATTTGTGACCAAATTTTTAAACTAAATTATAAGAGTACTGTAATTTATAATTTATACACAATATAGTTTATTTTTAACCATGCTTTATTAGAGAATCTTTATGACACAAAATTAGAAAAACAACTAAAACTAAAAACTTGTCCATAACCCAGAAATCTGAAGACAATCTATTTAAATAATCTGGTTTATAGCCTTCAAATCACATTGATGTATACATATATATATAATGTTTGTACGTATGTATAAACACATATGCATGTTTAAAATATAAATTTTAAATATGGATCATACTTTATATACTGCTTAATAAACTACTTTTTCTGTATTTAATATCTCTTAGAAATAGCATAAGCCATTAAATATTCTTGAAAATGTAACTTAAATTACTATATAATAATTTGTTTAATTCAACCAATTTTTTATCATTGGCCATTTAGGTATCATGTTTTTAAATTACATTAAAGTAGCACTGCACAGAACATATGTATGTTCATTTATACACACACAGAGTTGTGGTCACCATCGATAGTTTAATTTACGATAAATTCCTAGATAAAAATTTTCACATCAAAATGTGTATGTGTGTATATACATACACATACAATATACACAGTTTTCCTTTATAAATATAGTTTTATGATAATTAGTTCAAGTACAAATATATTTCTACTCACATTCTAGTGCTTAATTCTTAATTTGTTTCAGGAGATGTGTTTTAGTGGTTGTTTGTGGAAATTTGTATTGTTTAGAATCTTATTTTTATTATTTTTTATTTATTGTAGTTATTGGACCTTATTTTCATAAACCCTTGTGCAAATCTTTCCTGTGTTTTATCTCTCATCCTTTTTACTGAAAGACCTGGGATGCCATTCTATGCTACTTAATGGAGAGCTCCATCCGGTGGTCACTTGTTAAGCAACTCAATGCTTCACAACCAGACCCAGGGCAGCTCTCACATCAAATTAGTTTTGAAAGCCTATGGATTATTCCCTGCAAAGCTCGCTGGCCACATCTGCTACCTCATATCAAGACCCAGTAGCTCCACACTAATTCCCGTCCTTGTCATACCTCCTCTAAACCATGGTAATAATTTCCTAACTCTAACTCTTCAACACAGCCTCATACAAAAAATTGCAAAGGTGAACACCTCAGTATCTCTCAATGCACGGCCCTCCATGATCCTTCCTCTCTGATACACCTGAGATCTGATTTCTGATCTCCAAAAGTTCTCCTGAGAAACTCCTTCAGCCCAGAATGTACTCCTTCTCTTCTCTCCTTTCCCTTCCCCAATTCCCCCTTTCAGAAATCCACCTGTACTTAAAGCCCCAGATCAAAGCTTCTTTCACTTCTCCTCATGCTAAAAGGGCCCTCTCCTCTCTCAATTCCTATTGCGTTTCTTTTTGTCAGTTCTGCAGTTTTCTTGGTTTTTCTGTCTCCCCGTTTCATCATTTACAAAATGGGTATAATGCCTTCTACGTACCTCATAGAATTATCGTGAAGATTAGATTACATGGTCTGTGTTTAGAAGCACTGAGAAGCATTTCTGAACATTGTAAGTGCTCAATACATTTATTTTTGATATTATGAAGTGGGTGATAAGTATAATGATATTGAATCAACTCAGTGTTAATTACATTTTCTGCTAGCCTATATTATTTATCCCCGAATAGAGGATAATTTTCTGCAGAGCGGGGATTTGTCAATCTATTATGCATAGACTAGATGCCTGATTACTACTTATTGATTGATGCATTTCTTTCAGCAAAAGTGGACTGAGTATTGGTACTGGTGCCATGACTCCCTTTGTAAAACCTTCAGCATTTCAGTAATGTTATACAACTTAGAAGAAAAATATTAACAATCTGTCTTAATGAATCTGGATAATTTTTATTGAAAGAACATTTGTTAGTTTCACCATAAAATAATTTTGATTAACGCGAGTAAAACAGAAAAATGCCTTTTCTCCACAGCAACTCTTCTCAGCTACTCTCCAGGTTCAAGTTCTCCCAATTACTTCTCCCAACAACTTGCCTTGACAAGAGGTTGGGGGAAGGTCATCCAAGGAGTCAGGAAGAATATGTGTAGCATCGTGTCCTTGGCTGTAATCTCTCATATATCTACTCTATGAAGTCCTCTCACATCTTTCAGAGAGCTGGTAACATCTCCTAACTCTGTGCCTTTGAGGCTGAAATACCCTCTATGCTCAAAGATAGAAGATCTAGTACCCACAGCCCCACTGGCATCCCTTGAACGGTCCTCAACAGCATTATTACTGTTACATAGTGAGGAGTAATAAGTCAACCAGACTGAACTTAGCTTCCAACATTCCTTGTCTCTGCATCCTGGCTCAACCACACTGACCTTCGTTCTGTTCCTCCAACATTCCGAGTCCTTTCCTCCTAAGGTTTTTCGCATTAGCTCATCTACTGGGTACATGCATCTCACATGTATTCATGTGATGGTTACTCATCATCCTAGTTTTCTTAGTTTAAATGGACTTAGCAGGGAGTTTTTTGACACCCATTTTAAAATAGCCTTACATTCCTTCTATTATATATTTTAGCTTATACATATTATTTTCTAGTTTCCTTATTTTATTTTCATCCCAAACAAGAAGGGTCTTTGCTTCCTTTATGTACTAATACCAAGATAAAGTGCCTAACCTATAGTAGGCACTCAATACCTTTCTCTTTAATAAAAAGCTTAGCAAAGATGTGATACAATTCTTTTGAGTACATGCATGATTGAAATAAAAGATTAAAAAAGAGAATATAAAAAGCATTTTCTACTCTTAAATAATTAAAACATTGGCCAGATTACACAATTTCCCAAAAAGTGTCTCTTAAATTTTTATCTACATTGTTTCCAATAAAAGAGTGGGACTATTGAAATAATGTTAAAATAGGCTCTGTTTTAAAATAGCTAAAAATTGACTGTGATAAATTCTTATTAAAGAGACACCCTACAATACTCAAAAACTGTTTCTTAAATTTTTACTGATATTCTCTCCAGTTCTTTCCAAGTGTTACATAGAAATTCATGCCAAAGTTTGTAAAAAGTATTTTACATTTCCAATGATCTTTTTTTTTGTTTTATATATGCACCTGTTTTCAACTTCTACATATGTAATTTTTTTCCAAAAAAAAAAACCTCTAGATGAAGAATTGGCATGTACAAAAATCAGATTTTTTCAGAATTTCAATGTATTCAAATGCAATGGTTCTAAACTGTTCCAAAGAATAGATTTTAAAAAATGATAAAAAGCGAAAAGAGGAAAAGAAAAGTGTTATAAAAGTGTTTAATACTGGATCATTATTTTTTCCTAATACAAAAAAGGACAAGCTTTTAATTTCATTTTTATTTTGCTGTTGGCCTCTGTAAATATCTTTGCATCATTTTATTAAAATTTGATCAATAGTTATTTACTAGCTATTATTAGTAATAATTAGTTCCAGATGACATCTAATGGTACATATAGCATCTAAATATACATCTTCACAAATAGCCAAATATCACTGAAACAAAAATATCATCAAAAATACAAGATATTATTTAATTTTGTGTGTTCACATATATGTAGAATTTTAAAATCACACATTCTCACTATTGAAGTAATTAACTATACACATTTTACCCTGAGTAGTCTAATTAACTTTAAGAAAATATCATTTCTAGACATCTAAAGTCATAGTGCAACACATTACTCACATGTTTGTAATGATGCTGGTGTAAACAAACTTACTGCCCTGTCAGTCATATAAAAGTATAACACATATAATGTGTACAGTACATAACACTTGATACTGATAATAAACAACTATGTTACTGGTTTGTGTATACTATACTTTTTATTATTACTTTAGAGTGTATTCCTTTGATTTATCTATAATTTTAAAAGTTGACTATGAAACAGCATCAGGCAGTTTTTTTAGGAGATATGCCAGGAGAAGGCATCATATCACAGATGACAGCTCCATGCATGTTACTGCCCCTGAAGACCTTTCAGTGGGACAAGATGTGGAGATGGATGACAATGATATTGATGATCCTGACCTTGGGAGACCTAGGCTAATGTGTGAGCTCGTGTCTTAGTTTTTTTAAAAAATAGTTTAAAAAGTAAACATTAAAGTTTTAGAAGCAATTAAAAAGCTAATAGAATAAGGATATAAAGAAAGAGAGTATTTTTATACAGCTGTACAATGTGTGTTTTAAGCCATGTTAAAAGAGTCAAGAAGTTAAATAATTACTCATAAAGTTAAAAGTTACAGTAAGCTAACATTAATTTATTATTGTAGAAAAATAGATTTTTAAACACATTTAGAGCAGCCTAAATGTACAGCCTTTTTAAAGTAGTGTACAGTAATGTCCTGTGCCTCCACATTCACTCACTACTCACTCACTGACACCCAGAACAACTTCCAGTTCTGCAAGCTCCATTCATGGTAAGTGCCCTATACAGGTGTACCTTTTTTTTTTAATCTCTTATACTGTATTTTTGCTGTCCCTTTTCCATGTTTAGATACACAAATATTATAATTGCTTACAGTATTCAGTACAGTAACATGCTGTGCAGGTTTGTAGCCTAGAAGCAATAGGCTCTGCCATGTAGCCTAGATGTGTAGTAGGCTATACCACCTAGGTTTGTGTAAGTATACCCTATCATGTCTGCAAAACAATTAAATAGCCTACGGAAACATTTCTCCAAACATACTTCCATTGTTAAGTGATGCATGACTGTATTTTTCTAGGAAAAGTAGACTCACCAATGTGTATGGAAAGATGGATGTGTGACAGTACACTTTGCCCCAGTATGAAGATCACCAAGAAAGGGAAAAGAGTTAGTGGTTACATTATTTCCAAAGTACCTACTTTTTTTTTCATTTGTCTCTTGATATTTCATGTTCCTTATCAACCTTTCCACTGTAATGGAAGGAAGAAAAATGCTCAAAACTTGAAATTCCATCTTCTCTGATATTGTAGAGTATGGAAACCAGAGATAGGTGACATATATTAGACACACTACATAAGAAGGGGCAAGTGGAAACATCCAAGCTGGCTTTGTGATGTCTAAGAAGTGCTGGTGATAGGCAGAGTGTCCCAGGCGTGTCTTCCCACCTGCAGTCTGGAAATCTCCAATACTCAAAGAGAAGCTTCTCATAGAGAGATAGCAAGCTGGATTTTGGGGTCAGGTGTCTGGATTAAAAGATTTTGATGCAATGTTTTTTGTTTTGTTTCTGTTTTGTTTTTCCCCATTTTCCATCATCACGCAGAGCATGAGGAGGAACTAGCAATTCCCTCCACTGTGGTCAGAAGTTTGAGGGGAATAAAAGGGTTGGTGGACTAGAAATGTTTGAAACAAAGATGAAAATAGCATAGTATAAAGAAATTTGACATCAAAATCAATAATCAAAAAGGGACTCCTGCACAGGGTCAGAATGAGGTGTTCATGGCCAGGGAGGACTCACACTACAGAGTCCTATACACAGTAGACCTAGGGGCAGCAGAAACCAACAAAAATTAAAGGGTCATATTTGGAGCAGAGATTCCCCTCCCCTTTACCATTGTGTAGTCACAATCACTCCACATATAAACCAGGTGACCGAGGTGACTATAACATTCCCCTCAAATTGACCAAACAGTAGACAGGTGTCTTCCTGACCTTAGGCCCCTGACTTCCCTTTTCTTAGAGTGTTTACTTTAGAAAACTTGCAATTGTTAATTTTTTCCTCTGCCCTTTTGAGATGCAAATTTTCTGCAACTAAGACTGTCTTTCTGGGGATCTGGGAGCTAGCTCTTTGAAATGTGTTCATTAAGAAAGATCAGGCTGTCTCCCAATCTCAGTGGGAGGAAAGGAGCCTGTCTTCCATAAGGGCCAATTAGCAAACACAGATAACCTAATCACATTGGCTAACCTCCTCCCTAATGTCCTCCAGTAATTTTTTATTAGTTCATCCTAGCATTTAAACATCCTCCCACTTTTTGTTTTGATGGAGTTGAGTTCACTCTCCCCTATTCCATAGTTTTGACTCTTAATGCAAGAGTCTTGGATAAACTCCTCCCGTCATTTTTAACAAGTGCCTGGTGCATTTCTATTTGGCAGTTCTTTTACATAGGCAACATGTTTGAGAGAAATCCAATTTGGCAGACAGGAACGAAATGGAAAGACCAAGCCCAAATAACCCAGAAGTTATTTAAACTGAAAGGGCCAATAATACCATAACCTGGCAAATTTAAGGTTAGTTTTCCCCCTAATTAAATTAGGGGGTGGGGACTGAGGTAGGAGGAAAATTGGATCAGTTATTGTAAATAAAGAATCAGTGTTTTCTTCACACATCATATGAAAGGGTGAGTATATTTTGACCCCTCTACACAAGTTATAGACAAAGCTGTAGAGCCAACAAAACTCACAAAAGTCACTCAGGTACCACTGTTAACAAGCCAACCTAGCTACCCTCCCTTTCACTGGGAGTATTGGTGGAATAAAACTGCTCTGGAAATCAACTGGCAACAGCTCAGCACTTAAAGTGAATTATGAGCATATATGGGTGTCACTAGCAAGAACTTTCCAAAAATAGCAGGAGGCACAAAAAATAAAAGAAGGAAATGATTCTTTAAACATAATTAAACAGTAATGCCATCAGATAAAACAGAGGAGGATCAGTATGAGCTGAATAGAACACAGATTATTCCCTGTGTCCCTGGCTAGCAATTTCTCTCAATACAAAGACTAGTAAACTGAAAATATTTATATATTTACATCATTTTTTCCTTTCAAGAGAAATCCAAAACCCTAATCCATTCTGCATGTTATTCTTGAAGCTTTATACCCAAGAGTTGTGCAAAGGTCCAAGAATCAGACTTAATGTCAAGATATTGGAGTAGCCCTTCCAGGCACTAGTCCTCAGTCCACACCAGCTATATCCAAGATACCCAGTAAGAAAGTTTTCATGGTCCTTTTGATTTAGGAGTCTGTGCTTTTGTACCATCCTTAAGACATGAAAATATTTGTAGTGGCTAGAAATCCCAGTATCTAAAACTCAGTATGCACCATTAAGCCAGATCCCTTGAGGCTCACCATCTGCCTTGGGGCACTGCCAGGGAGCAGGGCATGTGTGCCTGTTACTTTGAAACCCACAAACTTTTCTGTTTTTACAGCAACAGCTGCTACAAATCTGATTATATTTCTTATGAGTAAATAAAATTATATCTTATAAATTATTTGAAGGGACTGAATACTAAAGTTGCAACCCAAATTGCTCTGTGAATTATATTTTTCTTAAAGTAAATTAAACTCTCCAAAGTAGAAAAACAGATATAGGTTAATGTCATTGTTTTGCTGTAAATCTTTTTATGAAAAGTTATTTCATAGCATTTATGGAAGTTTTATATATATATGTATATATATACACACACATATATAAACATATATATGAAACAATATGCCCACATCCATACATATCATTATAAATTATAAATTATATTTATATTTTTATAATTTAAAATATATAAATTATATTTCATATATTTATATTTTTTATATATTTTATATATTTATAATTTTATAAATATGTTTATAATTTTATAAATTATAATTATAAATTATAAATAAACACATATTAAAATTAATATATAGTAAATTACATATAGTTGTAATTTAAGAATACAGGTTTAATTATCCTTTACAGTTTGTTTGGATATTCACTTAAAGTGCTAAGGTAAGGAAGGAAGCCTTCCAGGTATTGCTATATAAAAAAACCTGAACCCCATGGGCAATATCTGCAGGTTTGTAGTGCCAAGAGTAGAAAAAAGTTATGCAGATCTTGCTTCTCACTGAACACTGGCTTAAAAAGGTTTGTTTCTCTCTGTATTTGTAGTGCACTCTGCTTTCATTACACATGGTGGAATGACACAGAAAAATATTTTGATTTAATTTTACACCAGTCTATCAATTTTAAGTTGTGCTCTATGAATATACATTGTAGAGGATAATCTCTCACTATTAAATCAATCAAATTTGAAAGATTATTAAATAATGTATGTGAGAATGCCTAGAATAGTGCACCTTATGTCATATAGGCTTTCGGTTTATTTAATCCAGGTATGAAACATAAGGAGGGGGGATAACACCAAGGATGATCCTAGATTTTAGACATTTGTCCACTAATTTTACACGTGAAAAGATGGAAATTCACAGTGTTTATCTGACTGCTTAAGGTCACACCCTTGGGGTAAGAATTAAGAGCCTAGGAAACATGTCCAGTTTGACAAGCTTTCCATATGCTGTGCTACTTCCCTAGACACTGATGCAATAACAGGACCATACTACATTAATTTGTAGATCCTGATTTGCCATGAAATAGATCCAGATAAACTTTCTGGCCCTGAAAAAGTATCAGAAAGATTAAATAGGCAATCCAAAACATTTCACAAGTTAAAATCCTATAGAGACAAGTGTGTGTTCTCTCACTGTTTCTTCCAGCAAAAACAGACAGGTGGTATATATAGATTAGAGAGCCAGAAACTTGGCTTATTTCAGACTTGTGAGCTTTCATTGCCAATCTCAATTTTGCAAGTAGCTTATTAAAAGATGTTGGGCAAGCTATTGTTCTCTGTATGAGAATATTCTCATTATACAAAGAAAGTCCTGAACACAAATCTGGCTATGAGTTGCACAGCAGCTCCAACAATTGGCACTGGTGACTTCCTCCCTTAAGAAGCACTCTCCTCAAATGCAACCTTCTCCGTCCTTGATTCTGTGACTCTGTGCTATTCTCATTTGGAATAATCTCATCTGACCCTCACCTCTGGCACTCATGGGGGAATTTGTTTACTTTTGTCTTCCTCCTCATGCTTCTACTGTAAGCACTCCCAAAAGTTCTGCCCCAAATACTTCATTGGTGAAATTAGTCTTTCACATGTATTCAAGTGACTCCATGTCTTGTGTGTTTAGCACTTCAAGTTTCTCTTCATATGTGTTAAGCCTTGAATTCTTTACCCCTGAAAATTGCATTGATGAAGAACTTAGCCACCTAGTTCCTGAGAATGGGATCTTATTTGCAAATGAGGTTCTTGTAGATGTAATTTCTTAAATTAAGATGAAATCATACTGGAATAGGGTGTGCCCTTGACTCAACAAGATTAGTGTCCTTATAAAAAGGAGAAATTTAGACACAGACATATGAAGAAGATAAAGGGAGGGATTAGAATGATTTTTTTACAAATCAAGGAATGCCAAAGATTTTCAGCAAACCTTTAGAAGCTAAGTGAGAGACATGGAAAAGATGTCTCCCTCACATCCCTCAGAAAGAACCATTTCAATGAGACATTGATCTTGAAAGCCTAATCTCCAGAACTGGGAGTTAAACAATTTTCTGTTGTTTAAGCCACACTATGTGTCATATGTTGTTATGGAAGCCCTACCAAAGTAATACAATATGGAAGACACTAGTATGTAGTATGTAGTCACCAAATCCACTTTCCTCTTTCTTTTGGGTGCACATGTAGATGAAATTCTCAGCCTCCCACAAAATTAAGTGAGTTTTCTGGTCAAAAGAATGTGGATAGAAGTGATCAATACCTTTTTCAAGCCTGATCCTAAAACTATCCATACATGGATTTTTTTTGTTTTGTCTTTTGGCTAAAATGAAGAATGCTTCCAGGACAACATAAGCATATGTTGAAGATGGAGAAGCCACACACTGCAAGGACCCTTAGTCCCTAAATCACTATTCTCTGGAGGAGAGCAACCTCACCAGAATACCATTTTGGATTATGAAGTAAGCAAGAAGTAAAGTGAAGCCACTGAAATTTAGGAGTTTTATTTAGGAGAGAATCATATTCCTTTTATCCACATTTTGTTTCTCTCCTTTCATTTTTATCCTTTGAATTTTATCTGAGTGACCATCAATATTTTAGATCATGTATCTAAAAACAAACTCAACATCTAAGCACCTACCTGATCATATAGCTTCCACATTGATTCTCTAACACAATCAGATATTCTCTCTGAATTTACTAATTCCCCAAATCCCAAATCTTGGAATTATTTCCTCTATCTTCAACTTCCTTATCCTCACAGATTTTCATATGATATCCTCATGGATACTCCCTGTTCAATTTCTCTCACATTGATGCATTCGCTAATTTTTCCCTTCACATGTAGATAAGCTTAATTTGGGGGAAGTAATGTAATTATTTCTTATCTAATCCTCTTATCTGAAAACTCATTCATTTTAATACTTATATACCCAATACCAGGGGTTTTCAAACTGGTGGTTATGACCCAATGTATAATCACAAAAATAATTTAAAAATAAAATGATATAGAACAAAAATATAAGACAACAGAATAACAACACAGGTAAAAACATTTCTTATAAGTATAGATAAGTAATTCATATGCAAATTTTTGTGTTACATGTATATGTCTATACAAGATACTGATGACATAAAATATATTTCTTTCTGTGGTTCTCAGCCAAATAAAAAAAAGCATGGCAGTATATGCCACTGTCATATTCGTATTTTTAATGCACAGATCATAGCTTATCAGTTCTTGGCTAAAAATAAATAAAAATGAGCCAGGCAACTTGCTCATGCCTGTAATGTCAGCATTTTGGAAGGTTGAAGTGGAAGAATCACTTGAATCCAGGAGTTTGAGACCAGCGTAGCCAACACAGTGAGACTCTACTTCTACCAAAGGCTAAAAGGTTAAAAAAAACAATCATCAGACATGGTGGTGTGTGCTTGTAGTCCCAGCTATTGGAGAGACCTAGAGGGGAGGATCACTTAAGCCTGGGAGGTAGAGGCTGCAGTGAGCCCTAATGGCACCACTGCCCTCCAGTCTGGGTGACATAGCAAGATCTTGTCTTAAAAAGAATGAAAGAAATAGAAATGGCCTCCCAAAGAGCTATTACATATAAGAAAAAAATCTAGTATTTTCTACAATATTCAAATTCTATCCTCCAGTTGAGTGAGACTGTTTGCTCTTTCTTTTACACATCATCATGTTTTCACCTCCAAATGTTTACCGTAGCTCTTACTTTGGGCTGAAATTCATTTGTATAGCTCCATTTCTATGCCACTCTCTAATATATCCTTACTGTCATTCAAAAGCCTTCACACATCATGATATTCACGCAGTTTTCCCTGATATCCTTATCAAATGATGTGCCCATGTTTCTCAACATTATAAGAACATTTTTGACCCCTAGCCCAGCATTTCTCATTCTGTCTAGCAGAATGAGAACGAACATCAATAAATAATACAGTTTGCTAAATATCTGTGTATGTTTGTGACTAGGGATGAGTAGGTAAATGTCTCTATGTCATTAAATGTACTGAACAACTATGAAGTTGCCCTCATTCTGAATTTATTAAGAAATACAAGAAAAACAAAATGAAACAAATAAATGAAAATCTTACAGTATAAAAGGCATAAGATAAAAATCAATACTTTGGTAGACATTAGAATTTCATTAATCATAAAGAATTTCTGCTGCTAACACTTAGATCTGAATGAACTAGAAAATATCTGTAAATGGTTGACCCACTCAGGTTCTGAGTGGCTGCATGACAGAACAATCTTTGATTTATTACAAGGATCCCAGTATGGGACCCATCTCCTCAATACAACTCACTATCAAGAGGAGAACACATAACATGCCTTTGAAAAATGTTCTTCCCCAGATTTAGTGCCCTGTGAATTGATTGTTATTTTTGTAGCATGATGTGAATGTCTACTATATTGTAAGAGATTCTATGAGTTTCTTGGGGCAAATACACATAGGAATAAGTTTCCGCAAAAGAACTTAATGTAATTTTTAGAAAACAAATACATACACATATAAATTAATGAAGTAGATAAATGTCAGAAACAGGCCATGAATATATATGTGAGCTACATACAGTGATGGACAGCCTCCAAGTTTCAAAACTGTATAAGACCTTAGTTAAAAGTAGTCAAGTATGACCACCAGTGAAGAATAGAATAGAGAGAGTGAAGAGTAGAGATGACCAGAAATAGAATACTTTAAAAGAAAAAAAAACACATTCTTACATCTCATTCAAACTTTTATGTACATAATTGCTCCCACATCTGAAAGGTGCTGCCATTACTGGTTGAATTTTATGTTTGATTTCCATATTATAGAATGTCTAAGACCATATTAAATCTCAAGATTAGGGTATGGTCTGAATTAAATCCTGACCTCATTTCTGAGGACTGAGTCAGAGCTTAATGTCCTTGAAACACTAGAATTTCTGTTGCTTTTGCTGTACTTTTCTATGCTATAGTCATGGCTCCCAATAAATTCAGAGTCATTCCCTGTTACAGGAGCTAATTATTTTTGGCATACATTCTAAAATCAAGTGTAAATGGTGTTCCTCATTTCAAATTCAGGAAGGTAAGAGTCTTTGTTCTAATTCTATGGGCGAATACTTAAACTAATATAGGTAATGAAGTCTAAAATATTCACCTTCAGAATCCAAAGAAAAATTATCTTATTGGTATTTCTTCAATATTTAAGAACTTGATGATATTTTAAGTCTTTATGGCATGAAGATTGTGTTATAATGATAGAAATTAGAATTGTTTAAACTATATCACTGTGAGTCAATCAAAAAACTCAGTTTTAGGCACATGTAACCAAATTGTATTTTTCCATCCAATGACCTGCTCCTACTGGCTTAATGAATATCAAAAATGTACTAAAGACATTTTTATAAAACTTTATAAAGTTAGACAAGCCAACAATGCCAATTATAATAATATTCAAAGTTAAAGGTAAGACTATTCTACGCTAAGATTAGATAGAAGACGTAGAAGTGTATATTAACAAACAGAGATAAACCACCCAAAGTAATGTACTTTAAATAAAAATTAAATTATAGTTTTCTGGATTGATATTGGTGGCATTATTACTGAGGTAATAATTAGATTTGCTTCTGAGGCACTACATATTTTTTAATATGTACTTTAAATACATTGTGTGTTTTCACATTTCATCAAATATTATATGAGTGATCAATATTTATAAATATTTGACAGCCAATTTTGAAATATGAAAAATTACTATTGGATAATTATTGCAGAAATAAATATTTGATCTATATGAAATTAATTCAGCAGTTTATTGCAGGAAGGAAACTAAAATTTTTTTAGGACATAGTGTATGCCAAGCATATTTCCAGGATCCTTACAGGTATTTATTTATATAATTTTAATGACAATTTTATAAAATTAATATAATGCTCTTACAAGATACAGGCTAAGAGCTCTGATTCTGGGGTTGATTCTGTTCCTATCATTCCTGAAATTTTGTTGCCCATTTTTGTGCTGTATCTATAAGGCGGTGGGCCAGTGGACTATTTCTTTCAACTTGTACAAAGTAAACTGTTCATTTCCTGACTTTAGCTGTAGGGAACCTGTTTTCAAGACCCTGCTTTCCAGCACGTGTGCATCACATGCACACATGGCCTGTTGCCTCACTTTGACTCACAAGAATACCAAAGTCCATTCCCTATGTATGCAGGTACCTGATGCAGTATAACTAAAATTCCATGTGGATGCTGTCTCCTCAGCTATGGTTTTCCTCTTCCTTTCTGGCACCCAAGGATTTTTTTTCCTTATTTTTAAGAATGTACCACATCAAAAAATCAAATAATCCTATAATATATTAATAATATTTGAATAAGACTAGCTGAGGAAACAAACAACATGTAAATTAATTCTTTGTCTTCCATTATTGATTTTAAATTTATTCAACTGCCAGTTACCCATTGTGTCCATTAGATGAAAATGCTAGCACACCCATGGCAATAAAGTTTTTGTGCTGGCATTCTTTGTTAGTACATGATGCTTCAGTCACATCAGCTAACAAACACTATCTTGTTTGAGGTATTTGATGCTTTAGTCACATTAGCTAACAAACACCATCTTGTCTGATATCTGATACAAGATATACTCAATAGTACAAATTTGATTTAATCTCCATTTTTTTCCTATCTTGAGCTTACTTTTACCTGTAAGCTTATGGGGAAAAAAAAAGTAAATTTAACTTCTCTGATTATGTTTTAATTTTCTAACCAATTTCTGATTGAGACTGGGTGTGGGGATGAGAGGCATGGTGGAGGGAATGTAAGGGAAGATAAAAAGAGATAAAAGGCAAGACAGATCTTGCTTAAACAGGTTTTACTACAAACTGCCTTTACATTCCTTTGTGTGCCAGGTGACTCTCTCTTCAGAGTCCTTCAGAGATTCCTTTGCTGGGGATTTCCATCTGATAGTTCCTTTGACTTTGGTGATTGAATCCCTTTTAGGTAGTCACTTTCAACTACTCCTTTAGCTTCTAGAAGTCTAATGTTCGCCTGTGGGTTGTTGCAATCAGAGTTCCTCACTCCCCCAGGTAACCTTATTCAGCAAAACCATGAATCATTCTTGTCCTCCTTATGCACACCCCAAACGTTGTCTACAGGAAAGATCCACACATCATTTGCCCTGAGAAAGATTGAATCTGGGGTTACAAACTCAGGCCACTATGATAGGCATCTCCAGACTGGTCACAAAAAAAGCTGCTGTCTTCACATTCAAAGTAGTAGGTTAGCCCATTTCTTATTATTCAGATTTCTGTATAAGTCAGCTTCTTGTCATCTTTGTCTCACACCTTCAAGAAACATACTTCAGAACCGTGAGTGGTCCCACTGCATTGCCAACCTAAAGAAAAGGAGGCACACCACTCTCCCCTTAGAAATTTACATTCTAAGACAGCTCTCTCTAAAAAGTCTCCCCAAAATACTTTCTCCTCTCATCAATCTGATCTATTTTTGTAACTTAAATCTTGTAGAAAAAGCAACAAATAAGGGAACATGTTTGTTTGGTTTTTTTTTTTGTCATTTGCTTTGTAAATTCTGCATGTAAAGCTTTCCTAATATTCACTTAACTGTCAGATATCTATTGGGTTTGTATTTTAGCCAACATTAAGGCACAAAAGAATCATCTCGTCTGGCATCCTGTTAATACTCACATAAGATATTATTATTAATATATAACAAATAATAATTATCTGATAATAACTATTTGATTATTTTTTTAAAATGAAATGCTTCAGGAAGTCACAAACTCATATTGAGTGACAATCCCAGGTTTGTGAGGATCAGATGCGCACTCTTGACACAATCAATCAGTTAGATTACCCACTTAGTTCACTTTCACTAACAACTGTCAGAGTTATAATCATTAATTTTAAAGTCTGTTTCTACAATTTTTATTTACACATTTGTTACTTTTAAGCCTATAATGGACTACTTGTTAAAACAGGAGGCACAAAACACAATGATATAGAAATATAACAAGGTAATAAGGAACCTTGAAACTGAGTAATTCTGCACACCCACCTAGATTTCTACCAAAGGTGTAAGTCGCCTTTTTCTGATAACATTTGTTTGACAATACATCAGAATGTCCTAGTAATTGAAAACTAATACAAAAGTGATAAACTACTTTTTGACATTTATTTCAAATTTAAATTTTCATTAGTTGGGATTAAACTACTCCTTACATCAGACCTAAATTCAGGCAAATATTTACAAATAGCATCGTGGAACCTTCTTTCCTAGGCCATTATTTGGAATAGAAGCTTCATAATACATAACATTAAATAATTTTAAATTATGAAACATAAAAGCTCTAAAATTTAATGTCTGCCTCTCTGTCACTTTTTTTTAAGATGAAGAAAATACTCATAATATTAAGATTCAGGTTTAGGTTTGTTTTTTATGCTTTGACCTCTGTAGCAGACCAAACTTCCAATCTAGTTCACCTTATTTCAATACTGGTTTCCCAGCAGAAGTCAGTCAGAGCTACCAAATGGAAGTTACCATTTTTCTTCATGATTATGCCCCTATAAATAGGAGGAATTGCTTGCTCAGATCTGCCATGTTTCTTAGCCTATTACAATCTAATGACATCTCAAATTAAATTCCTCTTATTTCTAAGAGTTAATGTATATTTCTAAGAGTTAATAAGTTCCTCTTATTTCTAAGTTTGCCTTCAAAATTTTTAAGTTATAAGTATAAAATCTTTAGAGGAATTATAGATGACATAAAATATTGAATATTCTAAAATTATATTTTAAATAATAAAACCTACATGTATTGGTAATTAAAAACTTAGCATCAAATTTAGTAAGTAGATTTCTACGAAAATGGGCAGGTGTTCTTTGCAAATAGAAAGTTTCCTCCATGCTGTACCTCAAGAAAATTGTACACGTGAAGAAAATATTAAAGTTTTATAATTTTATCTCATTTTTCAAAATAAAATTCTATAATTAAATTCAACTCCCCAAACAAATTGTGCTTACCATCCTCGGAAAAGGAAAAGTATTCCATTAACTAAAGGTATATTGCAACAAAAGCCTAAGGCATAAACATTATAACAACTAATGTAAAGTTTCATCTTATTTCCTTTTATATTGTAATTTAATAAAGAAGAGCAATGCACTTTGAAAGTGTTTTATTGTTTTGATAATATTTACCTCTGTTTTATCTGATATATATTAACTTAATGGGCCTTTCATTTTGTTGTCATTTGTGAATGAAAAATAAGGTGACAAATAGAAGAAAAATGTTTTTGTTAGAATATACTTTAGACATAGTATGAAGTAGTGTATATATAAAGTCTCATGTAAATAACATAATGTAACATTTTGATTTATGTCTACAATGTTTTTCTTTGTGACAGAAGCCACATGGTAGTTCAAAAAGGTAATAGAAGGCATCTGATGTAATACATCTAATATTTAAAGGAACACTTATAAATTCAAAACCCATTTAGACCATTGATAATATCTTATAAGGTATAAATTACAAATTCAATCTTTACAAGGAAAATAATATTCTTAAAAAATCATTTAGTTAGAACTAAGAGTACATACTTGTTTCTAGTTATAGAATAAAATCTTTTATTTATCAATTATTTGGGGTATATTTTTAAATGATCAGACTATGTGCTTTTATTCCCCTGCCTTACAGAATTAAACAAAGTATTAAGAATAAAAATATTGTATTAATTAATTGGTATGTTTTCACATTTATTGAACCTCTCCTATGCTAAGTACTGTAAAGGCTTAGTACTTTTACTCAAGTGTCTAATAATGCAGTGAACAAATAGATGTAAAGCAATTGAAATATAATCTATCTAAAACAAACTACAAAGTGTATTTTAAGAACAGAAGGAATAATACCAGAATTTACCAGAATAGGCTAAAGAGAGGAATGGAATAAAATTGGGAAAGAAAATTTGGTGAAGAACTCAAAGATTAGCAAGAATTCTCACTGTAAGGAGGAAAGGGGAGGCAATTTAGAAAGAAAGGCCAACATTGAGTGGAGATGTGCATGGAAGGTCAGTGAAGTTAACTCACAATATGCTAAGAATTTGAGATTTCTATGAAGTAGATAATAGAAATTATTTGACACATTTTGACAGAGGATAGTTACATATTTAAATATGTTTGTATTTAATGTGTATGAAATTAGAATAGGAAAGCCAATTAGGAGGCCACTGCAGTAATTCATGGAAGAATTTATAGATATCTAAACTAGGGTTATGGTAAAGAGGCTGAAATGGAGATAATAAGGATATAATTAATAGTTAAGAGGCTGAGAAGCTGTTTGGGGCAGAAAAGAGCTTCAGAGGTAAGAGTCACACCTGGTTTTTAAATAACCAAATATTAGACATTTTTAAACACCTGAACAAGTTAAAAGGCTCTCTCTCTCTCTCCTTCTTCTTCTTTCTCTCTCTCCCTCTGTCTCAATCTCTCTCCCGTTCCCTCCCTCCCCCTTTCTTTTATCTCTTAATGTATACTTAAAAGTTATTGTATTAATATTTGAATTGTCTCAAATATATCTACAGTGAACACTAATGACTAACAATTCCTTGCTTGGGTACAAGTCTGTGTCCTGAGCTCTAGAACATCTTACCCAACAGTCTACTTGGCATTTCCTACTTGTTTTCACATGGAACCCTGCTCCTTTTCCTGGCATAATTACTTACCAGATGTCATTGCTGGAAATTTTGATGTTAGCTTAATTCTTTTCTATTTCTCCTTAATATTTAACGTTAATTGTCACATTCAGTAAATTTTATTTAATAAGGGTAGCTTTGATTTTTGAGCACCTATTAATTTTGAGGATCACACTGGGGTCTTTACGTTTATCATTATTATTGTTAATAATAAATGAGACACGTAAGGATACATGATAATAATGATAAGGATAAATGATAAGGAGCATCTTGGTCCTCTTCCTTTTTCTTTTCTTTCTTTTTTTCTTTTTCTTTTGAGGCAGTTTGAGTCAGGGTTTTGCTCTGTAACCAGTCTGGAGTACAGTGGCACAATCATGGCTTACTGCAGTCTTGAACTCCTGGGCTCAAGCCATCTTCCTGCCTCAGCCTCCTGAGTAGCTGGGACTACAAGGGTGCACCACCAGGCCTGGCTCTCCTGGTCTTCTAACTTCCACTGATAGGTCATCTTCTCCAAAATGCATTACCCTTGTTCCTTCCTCTGCCAGAAGTAACACTACTGCCTGCTCCTTCACTAGTCCTTCAATGTTGTCTTACAACACTGTGCATATTCTTAACATAACACATAGCATATAATATTCCAGTTACTTTTTATTTGCCTGTCTTTATCTCCTCAGAGTAAATGATTCTTAAGAATAAGAGTTTTTTTACATATATAATTAAATCTTTTTTTAAATTAATTTGTGTTTTTTTAAATTATACTTTAAATTCTAGGGTACATGTGCACAACGTGCAGGTTTGTTACATATGTATACATGTGCTATGTTGGTGTGCTGCACCCATTAACTCGTCATTTACATTAGGTATATCTCCTAATCCTATCCCTCCCCCCTCCCCCAACCCCACAACAGGCCCCGGTGTGTGATGTTCCCTTTCCTGTGTCCAACTGTTCTCATTGTTCAATACTCACCTATGAATGAGAACATGCAGTTTGGTTTTTTGTCCTTGTGATAGTTTGCTGAGAATGATGGTTTCCAGCTTCATCCATGTCCCTACAAAGGACATGAACCCATCGTTTTTTATGGCTGCATAGTATTCCATGGTATACATGTGCCACATTTTTTTAATCCAGTCTATCATTGATGGACATTTGGGTTGGTTCCAAGTCTTTGCTATTGTGAATAGTGCTGCAATAAATATACGTGTGCATGTGCCTTTAAAGCAGCATGATTTATAATCCTTTGGGATTATAAGTAATGGGATGGCTGGGTCAAATGGTATTTCTAGTTCTAGATCCCTGAGGAATCGCCACACTGTCTTTTACAATGGTTAAACTAGTTTACAGACCTACCAACAGTGTAAAAGTGTTCCTATTTCTACATATCCTCTTCAGCACCTGTTGTTTCCTGACTTTTTAATGATTGCCATTCTAACTGGTGTGAGATGGTATCTCATTGTGGTTTTGATTTGCATTTCTCTAATCTCCAATGATCATGAGCATTTTTTCATTGTCTGGTGGCTGCATAAATGTCTTCTTTTGAGAAGTGTCTGTTCATATCCTTCGCCCACTTGTTTATAGGGTTATTTGTTTTTCTCTTGTAAATTTGTTTGAGTTCTTTGTAGATTCTGGATATTAGCCCTTTGTCAGATGAGTAGATTGCAAAAATTTTATCCCATTCTGTAGGTTGCCTGTTCACTCTGATGGTAGTTTCTTTTGCTGTGCAGAATCTCTTTAGTTTAATTAGATCCCATTTGTCAATTCTGGCTTTTGTTGCCATTGCTTTTGGTGTTTTAGACATGATGCCCTTTCCCATGCCTATGTCCTGAATGGTATTGCCTAGGTTTTCTTCTAGAGTTTTTATAGTTTTAGGTCCAACATTTAAGTCTTTAATCCATCTTGAATTAATTTTTGTATAAGGTGTAAGGAAGGGATCCAGTTTCAGCTTTCTACATGTGGCTAGCCAGTTTTCCCAGCACCGTTTATTAAATAGGGAATCCTTTCCCCATTTCTTGTTTTTGTCAGGTTTGTCAAAGATCAGATGGTTTTAGATGTGTGGTATTATTTCTGAGGGCTCTGTTCTGTTCCATTGGTCTATAGCTCTATTTTGGTACCAGTACCATGCTGTTTTGGTTACTGTAGCCTTGTGATATAGTTTGAAGTCAGGTAGCATGTTGCCTCCAGTTTTGTTCTTTTGGCTTAGGATTGACTTGGCAATGCGGGCTCTTTTTTGGTTCCATATGAACTTTAAAGTAGTTTTTTTCCAATTCTGTGAAGAAAGTCATTGGTAACTTGATGGGAATAGCATTGAATTTATAAATTACCTTGGGCAGTATGGCCATTTTCATGATATTGATTCTTCCTATCCATGAGCATGGAATGTTCTTCCATTTGTTTGTGCCCTCTTTTATTTCTTTGAGCAGTGGTTTGTAGTTCTCCTTGAAGAGGTCCTTCACGTCCCTTGTAAGTTGGATTCCTAGGTATTTTATTCTCTTTGAAGCAATTGTGAATGGGAGTTCACTCATGATTTGGCTCTCCTTTTGTCTGTTATTGGTGTATAAGAATGCTTGTGATTTTTGTACATTGATTTTGTATCCTGAGACTTTGTTGAAGTTGCTTATCAGCTTAAGGAGATTTTGGGCTGAGATGATGGGGTTTTCCAAATATACAATCATGTCATCTGCAAACAGGGACAATTTGACTTCCTCTTTCCTAACTGAATACCCTTTATTTCTTTCTCCTGCCTGATTGCCCTGCCCAGAACTTCCAACACTATGTTGAATAGGAGTGGTGAGAGAGGGCATCCCTGTCTTGTGCCAGTTTTCAAAGGGAATGCTTCCAGTTTTCGCCCATTCAGTATGATATTGGCTGTGGGTTTGTCATAAATAGCTCTTATTATTTTGAGATACGTCCCATCAATACCTAATTTATTGAGAGTTTTTAGCATGAAGGCTGTTGAATTTTGTCAAAGGCCTTTTCTGCATCTGTTGATATAACCATGTGGTTTTTGTCTTTGGTTCTGTTTATATGCTGGATTACATTTATTGATTTGCATATGTTGAACCAGCCTTGCATCCCAGGGATGAAGCCAACTTGATCGTGGTGGATAAGCTTTTTGATGTGCTGCTGGATTCAGTTTGCCAGTATTTTATTGAGGATTTTTGCATTGATGTTCATCAGGGATAATGGTCTAAAATTCTCTTTTTCTGTTGTGTCTCTGCCAGGCTTTGGTATCAAGATGATGCTGGCCTCATAAATTGAGTTAGGGAGGATTCCCTGTTTTTATATTGATTGGAATAATTTCAGAAGGAATGGTATCAGCTCCTCCTTGTACCTCTGGTAGAATTCGGCTGTGAATCCGTCTGGTCTTGGACTTTTTTTGGTTGGTAGGCTATTAATTATTGCCTCAATTTCAGAGCCTGTTATTGATCTATTCAGGGATTCAACTTCTTCCTGGTTTAATCTTGGGAGGGTGTATGTGTCCAGGAATTTATCCATTTCTTCTAGACTTTCTAGTGTATTTGCATAGAGCTGTTTATAGTATTCTCTGATGGTAATTTGTATTTCTGTGGGATCGGTGCTGATATCCCCTTTATCATTTTTTATTGCGTCTATTTGATTCTTCTCTCTTTTCTTCTTTATTAGTCTTGCTAGCGGTCTTTCAATTTTGTTGATCTTTTCAAAAAACCAGCTCCTGGATTCATTGATTTTTTGAAGGGTTTTTTGTGTCTCTATCTCTTTCAGTTCTGCTCTGATCTTACTTATTACTTGCCTTCTGCTAGCTTTTGAATGTGTTTGCTCTTGCTTCTCTAGTTCTTTTAATTGCAATGTTAGGGTGTCAATTTTAGATCTTTTGTACTTTCTCTTGTGGCCATTTAGTGCTATAAATTTCCCTCTACACACTGCTTTAAATGTGTCCCAGAGATTCTGGTATGTTGTGTGTTTGTTCTCATTGGTTTCAAAGAACATCTTTATTTCTGCCTTCATTTCGTTATGTACCCAGTACAGGATGTACCCAAAATTCAGGAGCAGGTTGTTCAGTTTCCATGTAGTTGAGTGGCTTTGAGTGAGTTTCTTAATCCTGAGTTCTAGTTTGATTGCACGGTGGTCTGAGAGACAGTTTGTTATAATTTCTGTTCTTTTATATTTGCTGAGGAGGGCTTTACTTCCAACTATGTGGTCCACTTTGGAATAAGTGTGATGTGGTGCTGAGAAGAATGTATATTCTGTTGATTTGGGGTGGAGAGTTCTGTAGATGTCTATTAGGTCCGCTTGGTGCAGAGCTGAGTTCAATTCCTGGATATTCTTGTTAACTGTCTGTCTTGTTGATCTGCCTAATGTTGACTGTGGGGTGTTAAAGTCTCCCATTATTATTGTGTGAGAGTCTAAGTCTCTTTTTAGGTCTCTAAGACTTGCTTTATGAATCTGGGTGCTCCTGTATTGGGTGCATATATATTTAGTATAGTTAGCTCTTCTTGTTGGATTGATCCCTTTACCATTATGTAATGGCCTTCTTTGTCTCTTTTGATCTTTGTTAGTTTAAAGTCTGTTTTATCAGAGACTAGGATATATAATTAAATCTTAATTGCCCAATATAGTGTCTGATACAAAAATAAGTGTTGGAAAACATCTAGTGAAAGAATGAATATGGGCCATAAAACAATGTATTGATATATGTATGACAAATTGCGAAAGAAGGATACACATTCTTTCCATCCATGTATTCATGTTTCCATTTTGTTGGGCTTCATAATTTTTCTCATCAAGAAGTATAATCTATTTATCAATTCCTTTCATCTGGGCTTGGCCCAACAACTTACCTTTCCTAATGCAATTATTAGCAAACAGGACTTAAGCAGAACATTGATAAGTGCTTATACATTTGTGCTTTCTCTGTCATCTAGCACTAAGTAATGAAAGTCCCCATTTTTTTTGTGAAATAGAAAGCTCAAGTGCTTCTCTGAGCAGAAGGGTCCTTGAAGTATATTTTTACTGAACTTTTTCCTCTTTCCAACTAGATAAAGCCAAAGGTCAGACAAGGGACCTAAGTTTAAACAGAATCTATCTCCAAGGGATTAAGAATTTGAAACAAATAGCAAAGAAATACAGAACTAGTTATCTACTTTTTTCCAAGGGTGGAAGAAATGCGAAATACTTGTGTTCTTCTGTTGAGATATTCCTATGTTGGCCAATTCCCAAATCTTTTTTTTTTTTTTTTTTTTTTTTTTTGAGACGGAGTCTCGCTCTGTCGCCCAGGCTGGAGTGCAGTGGCGCAATCTCGGCTCACTGCAAGCTCCGCCTCCCGGGTTCACGCCATTCTCCTGCCTCAGCCTCCCAAGTAGCTGGGACTACAGGCGCCCGCCACTACGCCCGGCTAATTTTTTGTATTTTTAGTAGAGACGGGGTTTCACCGTTTTAGCCGGGATGGTCTCGATCTCCTGACCTCGTGATCCGCCCGCCTCGGCCTCCCAAAGTGCTGGGATTACAGGCGTGAGCCACCGCGCCCGGCCTCCCAAATCTTTTTAAAGTTTTCAATTTTTAATTTTTGTGGGTATATAGTAAGTATTTATATTTATGGGGTACATGCAATATTTTGATATAGGCATACAATATGTAATAATCACATCAAGGTAAATAGAGTATCCACAGCCTCATGCATTTATCCTTTCTTTGTGTCACTAATAATCCAATTATATACTGTTATTTTAAAATGCACAATAAATTATTGTTGGCTGTAATTACACTGTTATACTTTCAAATACTAGATCTTATTCATTCTAACTATACTTTTAGTAGATGCTAGAAAGTGAGAAATCCCCAGCAGAAAAAGGCTGAAATTATGCCTTCATGTACTCAGAAGTTAAGGAAAGAGTTTCACATTACTTGAGTGTAGAAAAATATTTGCTTGAGTCAGGGGAATGCAAGGAGATATGGCTCCATTAGGAAAAGAACAGTTGACAAAAGAGAAGAAACAGCTTTAAAGATCTGCAAGGCTTAGAGGCAGGAAACCACCCAGCTAAGGAAAAGCTGGCCAGGTCCAATCACCATCTTCTATCAACTCCTTCAACCTTTTTGGAGAGTGAAAAAATAGCCAGCTGGTCAAGGCAGAAGTTAACTGGGACAAAGTAGTGAGCAGGACTTGGCCCCAAGCAACTTCCCAGCTTGAAGAAGGTCTGAGATGCAAGAGTGTAGACGAATTAATAGTAGGACAAATTTGAAATTTTGTTTACTAAATGGGATTGAGTATTGTAATTACTGAATTGAGGATTGTTTTTAACTTTAAAGTAAACTCTCAGTTAGCCAAAGATGAGAAGAAAAGCCACTAAATCTATCTCAGTTCTTATGTGGAATAAGATTATCCCAGTTGAATAAAATCTAAAGGAATGGCAAAAGGTAAAATTGTGTTAGGAAGAATTATATGCTGTTTGTTCAACACAACTTATCATTATGATTGTATAACTATAGCTTTTCCTCCAAAATGGAATAATTTTTCCCCCTTAAGAATGCTTGGTAATTGTATGTCTTGGTAATTGTATAAGTCTTTGTAATTGCATAATTTTGTTTAATAGTAAAACATTTGTGTTATACATTTCTCTCTGAGTACTATAATGAAAAAATGAAAGTAAACCACGAGCTTCTCCAATAAATAGATAACATTGTATGCTTGTCATTTGCCTACTTACTAACACATCCACTTCCTTCACCTTCTTGCCCTGCTTCTTCTCTCAGGAAGCTAACCCAGCAAAAGAAGTATCCCAGGTTCCTTAACTATTTAGATGCTGGGTACAGTTGGCCAATGAGAGGCCTGGTGGAAGACTATAGAGTGAAAAGAAGGCAGCAACCAGGTTATTTCACCCCCTTTCTCCTTGAATCTGATAGGGGCAGAGTAACCAGCGGAAGCCAAGTCCCCTCCCTGGCTTGAGCTTTTACTGCATAGGCCCTTTCTACAGTCCCGGTTCCTACTGTTCTATCCCCCTCTGTCATCCCAAACTTTGATAATGCCAAGTTTTCCATTTGGATTGCCTCACCATATTATGTTTGGACTTTAACGTTTGAATTTGTAAATAGCTCAATGTGTTATTACCTCTTTATTGAGCTACTTTGCATGAGTTTCATTTGTCTGACTAGATTCTTATTCCTAACACCATTGTTACATTCTGAAGACTTGATTTAGCAAATTTATAAACTTGTTCTGTTTTAGTAGCATATTTGGTGGAAATAGTAACTTATCCTCCCTTGCTTTTTTGAGATTTAGGTAAAGTTGGCCCTGAACTCTAAGACCAGATCCTTTCCCATAAATTCTTCAGATTTGTGGGAGCCCATTTCCCTATTAGTTCTCATTATAATAAATTTCTAAATTATCTATAAGTCTCTAAAATGTAATCTCTGAAGTGATATGAAAATACACCTGGTTCAGAATATTCAGCACCCATACACACACACACACTGTCTCTGTGTGGATGCTATCTGCATTCTCTTTAGGTGTCTGTCTCTGTCTTTGTCATATAACCATCCATGTAACATCAGTCTTGATATAGATCATTTATATATTTACTCTGTATCCTAATTTTTAGTGCTGTCTATATGATTGTCAAACTCTAAAAAAAAAAAAAGCATGATTGATCTCCGTCTTTAACGTGGATTTTGTCTAATTCATTTGTTTGTGATGACTTTTGCTGTATATAATGTAATGTGGTACTTGGTAGTAAAAGATCAGAACTATTACATAATTTGATAAATTGTAGCTTGTGTCAATGCAGAAACATTTTTGTACCATTTATTCTATATAGAAATTTTGAAATTTATTTTGGCTTAATTAAATATTAGCAAATCTTACATTTTATATGCACTTATATATTTTGCTCAAACATTTATTTCAAGTAATTTGAGGTCTTTTATTTCACTTCTTTATGTATAGCATTCAAATAGAATTTGTTTCTTCACTCAGCATTATGATTTTTTCTATTTATGGGGAAACTAATTTATTCACAATTATTGTGACTGCTAATAATATTGGGTGTTGTTTCTACCATCAGATTCAATTAGTTTTCTATTTTCAATGTTTTTTGGTTGTCTGACTTTTTCTGGATTAGATGATTTCATTGCTCCTTTTATTCTTTCTTTTTAAAATGTTTGGGGTTGAGAAATCATATAGACTCATGCATAATTTAGCAGACTGAAAACATGGTTTTATATTTAATTATATAAACCCTTCATTTCTCCACTGCTCAACAATTTTATATACATTCAAGAATGCAAAACTTCATCACCTTAAATATCATTTTGTTTATGCTTAGTAGCCTTACTTCATGTGAATATGTGGCAAAACATAGACTAACTACAACAGAAGATTATCCTGAAACAACCCTAGAGAAGACGCATTAACGTAGAAGTTAATAAAAATAACCTTATGCACACAAAAAAAGACATCATCGTTTTAACAGTAGAAATTCAAGTGACCACCTGGGAACACTGAAAGAAATACAGAGAATTCAGTACAGTCATAAACATTGATTTTGAAAGGAAAGAAACTGTTTTACTAAATGGCTGTTTAATCAAGTAAAAGCTTAGTATAACAAAAACATAATTTGAGAACTCAAGAGAAATATTACACCCTAACAAAACTCCATATAGAGACTTTATTTTAAAATATATATTTATTTTAGAAAACACAAAGAAGACAACATTATTCTCTTCTGAGGATGATGTGAGAAGTATCTTATTTCCAAAAAGATAATAAGTAGTTTCAAGGGAGGAAGACACAGTACCATCATAACTGGCAAATTACAATGCTCAGAGGTCTGTAACAGTCCAGTAAATACCCAATTTTCCTTAAAACTTTACTTTGTAAATCCCACGAGCCACTGTGTTTTATGTTCCTTTAACTGTTATCTGAGGAATAAATATAGTAATATTACAATGGAATTTAGGCTAATTGAGCTCTTTTAGGCCGTAGATGCTCCGTTCTAAATATCTTCAAAACTCAGTATTTGGCACAATGACTGATAGAAAATTAGTGCCAGTTTATTAACTAATGATTTAACCTTAGTTTAGGAATACCAAACTAATTTATATATGTTACAATTGATTTTTTAATATCTCATTTCATATTTGAACAAAAATTTTAAAAACCCTAGTTCAAATGAAAAAAAAAATATGGATCTTCTTAGACAGAAACAGAAAATTCAAGTTAAGTTTAATTGTTAAGAAAGTGAAACTTTACGACTTTGATTTGCTAGGTAATAGTCACTACATAAATGTACCCATTACAGTTACACATTTACAGATTACAATATTCCATGCTAGGCTAGGTTCCCTTAAATTTTCAGAAGTTTTTCTAGCACTCTGGGGCATCCCAACATTACCAGATTTCCACTTCTCCTCAAGTATTTAGACCAGTTGAATTCTAATAATATGTTTACTCATCTTTATTCTCCACTAGAAGATAAGGGCAGGAACCAAGTCATGCTCATGCCTGTATACACAATGCCTGTGATACATTAAACACTAATATACGCTAGCTGAATGAGATTTTCCCATTCCTGGTAAGGGAAAAACATTTCGTTATAAGATGACTCAGTCTAACTTGGGGTGTAGAAGTAAATAAAAAGCAGGAATATAAAAGCAAGCATCCCTTCACTTTGATTTTTGTATTTTTCACTTTCTGTTTCATTATTGTGATGTTGGATTCACATCTCATGACTCCTATCATAAGCTGATAAAGAGATGCTATGATTATGCAAATCCATCTTTAAAATTAATGGTAAAGTAGACATTAATAAATATTACTAGATTACTACTTTTATTTTATTTGGAATAAATATATTTTCATCTTTGTGCTATTTACTTGGGTAAAAGAGAAATATTTAGGGCACTTTTAGTTTAAAAAGCTTTGCACCAAGTTTGAACATAAAGTAAGCATTTTCCATCAAGTCTCTCCATTGCTCTTGAGGACTCCAGTCTCTCTTTTATTTAGACCTTCTTTTTGTGACTGAGCAGAGCTAAGAATAGAGAGGACATTAGATGCAAGCGTCTTTGACTTTTTATCACCCACAGGTTGTGTAGGACAATTTTCAAACAGCTCCCTAAGATGCTTCTTCTAGACATTTATGACACTTACACCGTAATAAAGTTCAATTTCAGTAATTGAATCTTCCCTAAAGTAAAATCTAACTCATATGGAAACAAAAGATTTAGATGCCATACAACCATAAATGTGGTTATCTTTTAGCCACATAAAGTTAGAAAGCAAATTCAAGACCATTCATAAGCATTTGATTATGTTGTTTAGCCAACAAAGGATAAAGACTATTCCAGCAGAAGTATACCTTAAAACAAATGTCTAAGTGTCTGTTTTCAGTCAGGTCCTATACTCGGTAAACCCAAGCAAAGTTTTCACAAAGTTTCATTCAATGTTGCCTACCTATTGCCAATATATTTCTGTAAATTATGTATGAGTCATAAAAACAGAAGTCATAAATAAATCAAAGTCACTCTTGAGTCTAACAATTTAAAAATAAAAATAGCCCCAGTGAGAAAGTCGACTCTATTTTTCTTTTCTTTTTTTTTTTTTTTTTTTGGTAGGGGGGGTTATGGTCAGTATTTTTAATACAATAGGCATGACTAAAATGATTTTTTTTTTTACAGAGATTAACACTATTTTAAGCAATTGCTTTTAGTTCAACAGAGCAGCTGCTTCATTGTGCTGTGATAGCTCAAGGTTAATTGAGCAAATAGTCATTTAATTTGGAGAAAAAATAGTGAAGAAGGGAGGTACAAGAGAAGAAATAGAAACATTGTGTTCTAAGTAGTGCTATATATATTTTACATACATCTTTTATAATTTAACTATTCAATACCCTAGTAAGATAGGTATTATAATTCACAATTATATGAGAAAAAAATTTACCAAAAGTTCAAAAATTTACTTAAGCTCATGTTGCTAATAAATGACAGCACTCAAATTTGAACTTAGACCTGTATATAAGGCTATCTTTTCTCCATATGTACTGCATTTGTGATATTCTGTGCAGCACAATATGAAGGTGAATAAATAATGTCTCTAAGACTTGGCTTTTAATAAAAAGAAAAATCAGGGTATAGTAATTTGTGTACATAAATCTCCATTGAGCAATGGACATTCAGAACAGAGGCATATTGCTTCTTGTAAGGGTAGGTAGGATTTCTCCAGCTGTGAATTTTGTACTTCAAGGAGGACTGGAGGCCTAGGAAGTGAAACTCCAGCCAGAGAGAAGACATGTAGACAAAGAAAATGTGGTGGAAAAAGCAGAGTGCTAAAGTGATGAAAAGTAGCCAATTTTTATCATCCAAAGGATAACGCTGAGAGATATTTTGGGGTGAGGCAACAGAAGATAAGCTTGGGTTTTGGGTGTAAGTGGACACAAACATGGTCAATTCTGAGCTATGAGAGGTCTAATGTAATGCTTGGGACTGGATCTCAGAGCAATCCCAGCCTGAATGCTTGCTCTGAGTAGGAATCAAGCTTATGGAATCAAGTTTTATCCCTACTTTGCTTTTTGACCCCACCTCTGTTTCTTAACTGCCTAAAGCACCTGCTTCTCTTCTTAGGAGGAAGTACAACCCAGCATTGTCCTACATCCATGGATCTGAGCAGGACCATCTCTGGACAAGACAGCCAGCTGGCCACCAGCACGCACGGATATATTTTTCTGCCAGTCTGGAGGATGCAGTTGTCTCCTCTGTGCCAGGTATAGCAAAAGAGTCATGGCCTCCCTTGGTCACAGCTAGTGCTTAGCACAAGCTCCCACTTTTGCATAATAAAGAGAATGTGTATAAAAGCAACTCGAAACTGTGACACAATGCAAGTTAAAGAAATTGTAATCTTCCCCTGAGAAGATGAATAAATGTAAGGTGAATGAGGCATCTCTGAGAATTTTCTCTTTAGTTCAAACACTGTCACTAAATTTTGAAAAAGAGTTAAACTCAACCTTTCAAACTATATTTTGAGCACCACTTTTTTTATTAGTTAGTCAATTATGTGTTGGTTCCTTTTGTTTAAAAACGTAAATAACAAGATAAAGTCAAGGAGTGGTCAGAAGAACCTATAAAATATGAAGAGAAAATAAGTTGTAGTTCTGAACAAAATTTAATATTATAAAAATAACAAGAAGCTTCTTGGAGAAAGAAAATTATTTGGTTATAAAGTATATAAAATTTAAGTATATATAGTACACTAAAAGAAAATTTATAATTATTACAATTTCAGATATGCTAATTTTAATGAAGAAGTCTAAACATGAAATGTGATTTTATACCAATGTACCACATGACTAGGTCAAAGATTCCATTCCTGACTCCTGATTCTTTTTAGGAGTCTTGTGAATTATAAAAAGATAAGTAGGTTCATCATTAGTGAAGTGTGGGGATTTAAATCTAATCCAAGGATGTTTCAATACTCCCTGTCAGAGGGAAAATAATTTTAGGCTATTATCACGAAGGAACTGCTTTCTATTATATAAAGCTTTACTCTGGTTTTGTTCTAAGTAGAAAGTATAATCAGTATATTTTTATAAGTGTGCAATCGTCCTTCATGAAGGGGAAGCAAACGTAATTAGTTGTGAATGATTATATAGTGGGGAGAAGCTAGCCCACAAATAATTCCTTATGTTTTGTTACGGTGCCCCTCACACCCCTTAACTTAATGACCATAGACAGGGCCCATGTATGCAAAGCATACCTATTCACAAAATCCATTCAAAATAAAAAGCTTTATAGCAATGTACATAGGAACAGATTCAGGTGATGCCACAACAGCCTGAACAATTAAATATTCATCAAAAACTACATTAAATATAAGTGCATGTTACTTGAAAAGTTTGTCTGCAAATTTATATGCATTACATGAAAATTTACCATTCTGTTTGTCATTTCAACACCTGCCTTTTCTGTTTGAACACTTACTGATTCTAGAAAGCAAAACTACGAGGCTTAAATTCCTGGGATTCTACCCTTAATTTTTTAAATTTTCAAACTGCTTAGGAAAACTGTGTCACCACTCTGCACTGAAAACTTTGTGATTACAGACTTTTGCTGTAATCCCACTCCTCTAAAACTTCCATTTCTGTATACGAAGAAGTCATATAAATGTATTAAGTTCGCAGCAGATATTATCATTTAGCAATGTATTCCAGACATTTTGTATCAATACCCATTTAGTGTTCCAAATATTACTTGAGATATTAATAACCTAGGTGGTTAATTTACTTATGCCAACTACTGTCTAAGTACTTTGGTTGGTTTAATCCTTGTAACAACCTTGTTACAGGAAGGGAGAGGTTAAGTAACCTACTCAAGGTTACACAGCAATAAAGTAACTTATTGAGCTAGGTTTGGAGTCCAGGCAGTATAGCACTGGAGTCTGAGCTCTTGTTCACCCCACGATGCTGCTTATGAAAATCAAACAACTCTTTTTAAGTGATTATTGAAAATAAAATGCAAAATCATTAAATGGATCTTTTGAAATGAGAATTTTCCCCCATTTATTCTATCATTTGCTCATGTTAGGCTCTCATGGTAGCATAAGTGTGGTCTGTACAGAATTCCGAAAGCCAAAGTTCAATCAATAATCTAATCCTGGCTCCCCTATCTTTGACTGTGTAAAGTAGGCATTTTTTTCCAATATCACTGAACCTCAGTTTCTCCATTTGTAAAGTGAAAATGATAATCACCAAACCTACTTAGGATTGCTGTAAGGAGTTTATGAGACAGCATATGTAAACCATTCATTAATGTGGCTAGCAGGTTATTAAATGATTGGTTACCCGATGTATGTTAGTAATTGTCATCAGGCTTTACAAAACAATAGGCCAACTATGGATTCATCTGACTGTGTTTACTAACTTGCCATTAATGTTAGTTTACCCTAATTATCATAATAAAATAACAGGGGAATTTTAAATTAAGAAAATGGAATTGTCACCTGTATTATTAAAAATCACTTTAAATTTCAGTACTTACCATATTGTTGCCTCCAACTTAACTGTAATAAATATATTAGTCATTATGGTTAGGAGCAGTAATTAGTGCAAAGGCTGTCAAGGTCTTGATCAGAAAACTAGCATGTTGGTGATGATGATTGTAGCAGTGACCAGAGCAGGGCAACACTGATTAGCTTATCTCTTACATATTGCATAAGGACATTATAAAAGCAAATGCAATTATTATAAGTGCATTTATAAGTCTGAAATGATTAGTGAATAATGAATATAAATTTTGTGCATAAATATATCTTGCACATAAAACCATATCTATAAAGGGAATGCTTAAGCTTGCAAGTATTAAATAAAAAATAAATTTTTCATATAAATACTCTTCAGGAAAAACACAGGCTTTTAAACATAATTTGATTGGTTCTAATAGAGATTTTTTCTCATTTTTAAAAAGTTAATCTAAGAAGAAAGGATCATCCTGAAATCCTGAATCTCATTTTTTTTTTCTTTATAGTTATCATCTTCTGCATTAATCACTAGAGAAGAGCTTTGGAGACTGGTAAACTAGTTCATTCTTTTTCACCATGCTGTCTAGCCATTGAGATTTTCCTCTATCAGTTTTATACTTTTGTTAAATAATCATGATACAGGTTTTTCTTATATTTCCAATCTGGTTGGTAAATAGCCATTCCAGACCTTGTCTAGAGCTGCCTATATGCCTCATTTTTTATTTGTTCTATTTGGCAACATACTCGACTTTGGTTCTATAATAATTAAGTGAATTGCTTTCAGAAATAATAGTCTGCAGAACATCACTGCGTGACAAAAGAAGCTTAATTAATTTATGTTTTAAATGCAGACCTTATTCAGCTAGTATTTTGTTATAATTGTATCTTTCCAAGTCAGCTCCTACTGGAATCAGAATCTTGACTTCTATATAAAGTAGATCCAGGTAAGACATCACTCCATATATAGCAATACTTAAAAGGATACTCTAACTTGATTATTAATAAAGATGACAGAAACCATAATTGTAAGTAATTTAGTAGACAACATGCAATAAGAATTAATTTTACTTTATAATATAGTCACTTAAGCAGTGAAATTCAACAAAATATGAATCTTGCATTAATGTTTCTTCACTGAGTAATGGTGAAACCTTGAGCTGAAGAGGCTGTATCACGAAGGGAAAGTTCTTCAGCATACTAACAAGAAAAGCTTTGAAACAAACAAACAAACAAAAAAGCTAGGAATATATTTAACCAAGGAGGTGAAACATTTCTGTAAGAACTACAACACATTGATGAAAGATACCCTAATTGACACAATTTCTATCAAATTGCCAAGACAGTTTTTTACCTAATTAGAAAAAACAATACTAAAATTCATATAGAATCAAAAAAGAGCTCAAATTGCCAAAGCAATCGTAAGCAAAAAGAAGGAAGCTGAAATCATCACATTCACGTGACTTAAAATCACACTACAAGGCTACAGTAACCAGAACAGCATCGTACTGGTATAAAAAACCACATATAGATAAATGAAACCGAATAGAGGACCCAGAAATAACGTATACTTACAGCAAACTGACCTTTAACAATGTCACAAGAATATACACATGAGAAAGGACATGCTTTTCGATAAATAACATTAGAATATTGGATTGCCATATGCAGAAGAATGAAACTGGATCTCTCTCACCATATAGAAAAATCAACTCAAGATGGAGTAAACACTTAAATGTAAGACCTGAAACTATAAGAATACTAGAAGAAAACCAAGGGAAAACTCTTCTGAACATTGATCTAGGCAAATAATTCCTGACCAAGACCTCAAAAGCACAGGCAACAAAGCAAAAATAGACAAATTGGACTTAATTAAACTAAAAATCTTGGACATCACAAAAGAAATATCAGAGTGAACAGACAACCCACAGAATGGAAGAAAATATTTGCAACCTATGCATTCGACAGGGGACTAATATCCAGAATTTACAGGGAATTCAAACAATTCAACAACAACAAAATACAAATAATCCCATTAAAAGTGTACAAAGGACATGACAGACATTCTTCAAAAGAAGATAGACAAATGGCCAACAGGCATATGAAAAAATGTTCATTATCACTAATCATCAAAGAAATGCAAATTAAAACCTCAATGACATATCATCTTACCCCTATGCAGAATCTCATTATTAAAACTACAAAAAATAACAGATGTTGGTGAGGAACTGGAGAAAATTTAGAACTTACACTGTTGGTGGGAATATAAATTAACCTCTATGGAAAACTGAATGGAGATTTATCAAACAACTAAAAATAAAGTTACCATTTGATTCAGCAATTCCACTACTGGGTATTTACCCAAAGGAAGGAAAAGAAATCATTGTACTAAAAAGATAACTGCACTCATATGTTTATCACAGCACTATTCGCAATAGCAAAAATATAGAATCAACCAAAGTGTCCATCAACAGAAGACTGGATAAAGAAAATGTGATATATATACACAATAAAATACTACTCGGCCATAAAAAAGAATAAAATTGTGTCTTTTGCTGCAACATGGATGGAACTGGAGGCCATGATCTTCAGTGAAACAACTCAGAAACAGAAATAAAAATACTGCATGTTCTCACTTATAAGTGGGAGCTAAATAATGTGTGTACATGAACATAGAGCATGGGAGGATAGACAAAAGACCTCAAAGGACAGGGGAGTGGGAGAGGAATTGGTGGGGGTAATAAATTAATGGGTACAATATGCATTATTCAGGTTATGAATACACTAAACGCCCTGACTTCACCATTATGTAACTTATTCATGTAACAAAATTATACTTGTATTCCTTAAATTTATACAAATATAAAACAAAGATAATTTTTTTAAAAAAGAATAGGAATTTTCTTTTTCTTTGCTAGAATGATCAGTCAGTTCCTTGGTTATGTTACTTGCCATCTCTCAAACTCTTACTTTTCTAATTTATAAGGTGTGAATAAAAGCAACCTTTCCATACAAATGCAATGAGCAATTGGTCAGCTAATGTAAGAATAGAAAATAGTAGAGGGTCTGGCATATAATCAGCGCTCAATACATTCTAAATGCTGTTCTCAATACATTCTAAACACTAGGAATCTTGCCTATGCAGTTGCAATCTGAATTTGTCTATTTCTGGGTTTGGCTGATTTTCTTCAGTGATCTATTGCTTGTACTTGGATATACATCCCTCCTCCTTGTTAATTCTACTGAATTCCCAATCTTTCATCTGCAATTGCTGAAAGTTCAGACTTTCCACTAATCACCAACTGATTTCTAAGATTTCTTTTAAAATTTAAAATTTCTTTTAAAATTTCCTGGAAAAAAAATCCCACTACCAGTGTTACTAATAAGCAGGGTATGAAATCTTCTGTGAGATCCTTGAGGTCTTTCTGTCTTTCATTCATCACAGTTCATGAATCTTGCTCTTGGGTCTTTGGCCTTTCCTCTCTGTAGTTTGTCCTGTGTGTTGGAGACAGGAATGTGAGATGCCATTTCCAGTTGTTTTGTTTTTATTGTTTTAATTCATGTTTTCTTATTGAATTTAAGAAAACGTTAACAGATAAACAAATTCCATAATATTTCCTGTGAAACTTTACTAACATGTTTCTTTTTCTAGCTATAATCAATGATATAATTTTACCATTTTATAAAACGAGACATCTTTAAAAAGGACTACAGAACTGCACTTTTTATACCTATCATTGCAAAGTTTTTCCAGTATAGCGACCATTAAAATGTATTTGTTTTATTCTCCATTTTTTCTACAAAAAGTTTAATGGTGCTATTTGAATACAAATAAATTTATTTCTTTTTAAGCATTAACTGGGTTAAACTCATTCTGTGTTTTGACTGAAATTTTAGCTAACATCCTAATAACACGTTGAACATAATCTGTATTACAATAAATAAATGCAAAAATTTTACTGACAAATAACTATACTCCATCAAAATAAGAAAATAGAATAGTAGACCTTCTTAATCATAGTATAAAGTTAAAATTCTTACAAAATTATGAGGAGTGAAAGAAGAATGCCTAAATCATTTAAAAATTGAAACTATCATGACTTGATAATGGATTTGGTAAATATATTGTTCAATCTAAGAATAAAATACAAAAATGGAAGAAATTTTAACTAATATTCAAGAAATTAAATTTCTGAATAACGTGTACATGTACATTTTATTCTACTCATGTTAATCAAAAAGTATGCATAATTAATTTTTGACAATCATAACTGTTATAATGCATAATTTAAGCACTGTCAATTCACTTACATCAGCCATTCATTCAGATCATTTAAAATGCCAATTCACGTTTTAAATACTTCATTCCATTTTATTTCATGATATTTCAAAAGTTCAAAATTGACCCTTGGCAACAGTGGACTCTTTTTTGGAAGGTATACATTAAAATATTCTGTGAGTTAAACATTGGTAAATATTTTTTGTCAGTCTTGGGAGTTCTGGCTAAGTGGATAATAAGAAAAAATTCAAGGGATTGAATCTTCATGAAATGTTAATGTTAAAACATTTCTTGAGAGAAAAAATATAATTCAAAAAATATTGTGTAAACTTCTCTGCCTTAGTAAACACAACACGTTTTGGCCAAAGGGCATCATAATAAGTATCAATTTTTGTTCTGTGGTGCTTGATCTTTGTTCTGTTGAACTTACGGCAGACTAAATATTAGCTCCATAAGATAGGTGAAACTTGTTATATTGAGAAAGTCTCAGATTTCAAGTTTTTGTTTCCATTTACTTCTTTCTTATTAAACTGCAATGAAGAATGTTGAGCTCCATGACCTCCTGGGCTCCATGACACTGTCTTTCAAAAATTAATTAGTGAATCGAAGGCTGAATCAGCCTTCTTTCAAGTAATCTTCTTGCTCTTCAATAAGTTAACTTCTTTACTCTCATTATCAATGTCCTTTGCCTTGTCAGCAGCATTTAAAACATTATCTATTATTTCTGCATCACTAGCACAATGTCAGTGGAATTGGGTGAGAGCCTTGTTGTAGAGCCAAACCTAATGGCAGGGTTAATCAGAGTGGCAGGATTAGCAGTGTCAAACCATCAAATGGGCAACAACTAGGTACTTGGATTGACTTAGTAGGTGCTGATGGTAACAAAGAGATGGATATCTGTCTGAATTGCTCTAGCAAGTAGTGAACAACATCAGGAATACAAGATAATTGAACTTTATGTGGATCAGCTACAAAACAGGCTACAAAAAATGTCTCCATGATAAACAAAGTATTTGGTAACTTGTTAAGATTAGGACAAATGGAAGCCTGCATAAAAATAAAGATTAGGATCAAAACCTCCGTTCAGTTTCACAGAATAGAAAAAATTGAATCTTAGAAGCAGATAACCTGCTGGGAAAAGGATATCTTGAAGTTTTTTTTTTTTTTTTAATACAACCTGTCTGTGCTGGGGATTCTTCTACATATGAGCACTTCTGACAGATTCAAATTCCTTGCTCAATTTCCTTGCCCTTCTAACCAACACATACATGTTTTGTGCCATATAATGCTCCATTTACTTCTAATACAATCATTGTTATTATCAGACACTCCTTGTCTACATGTCATATTTTAAATATTTTATTTTATTTCAAGATGTTTTAAAAGTTGATAATTGATTATTGGCATCGTTATTCCCACTAGAATTTAATAAGAAGTGATTGTTGTTTAAATGATATTCTTAACTTTTCAAAGAATGCTTAACACAAAACAAATTAAAAGGAATAAAAATATTAAAGTCAAGTTATATTTAATGAATACATTAAAAAGGGTAAACATCTTCCTGAATACATAACAGTAACACAATCCAGATTGTGATTGTTTTAGGGGAGCAAGGGGAAAGCATAAAACTGGGAGCAAAATTGTGGTCTTTAACTATTTATTAAGCAAAAATGTGAGAAAACATTACTGTTTTTAATTTCAATTTTGACAACTACATTTTTTATTTTGTTTTAATTTGCAGCTTCCCTGAACCTGAAATTAAATAAAAGTATATAAGAGAAAGAGACAGAGAGAAAAACAGAGAAAGAATGAGAGAAATGGTAACCCTTTATTCCCTTGACGTATCTTTTCCTTAAATTAATCAAGTACTCTATTCTGTCTCTGATAATCTGATTTCAGTTTTCCATCTGTTCTGATTCTTGCCATCTGCCCATCACTGATTTTGGCTCCATTGTGGCACACACTTTGAAGCTCATCTCAATTCAGTCCTGTGAATTATAGATATGAAAGGTACTGAGAACCAGAAAACATTTAGAACCATGTACCCCAGTATGGGAGCCCACAGAGAAGAAGGGGCAGATTCAGGACCAGGCCTGAGTGACAGCTACTTTGGTCTTCAGGACTATTTGAGAGATGGAGGGTGTTGGGCGGGATAGTGACATTCTACTTGAGCAACAGTAGGGTTGGATAAGCATGGGGGTTATTTGTGGTAACTGTACACAGGAGATTTGGGAAGGAATAGAGACAGTTCCTTCAACTGATTCCTAGTTTAGTATAGAGTGATAGAAAGAGGGATGAATGCATATAGATAGATTGATAGGTAGATCAATTTTTGTATGTATAGATGACATCTAAATGAGTAAATAAATCACTGAGACTAAATTTATATAAAACCATTCTCAACTAGATAAATCAAGTGAAAATTGAGTAGAGTAAGGCAAATTATATTGTGAATATTATTGAATAAAAGTTTAAATCACACGCTGCACTATCCCTCCACCTCTGCCCTCACACTCACAACCAGGTGGGGGATATATGAAGTCAAAATGTACTTTTCAAGTGCTTCTTGGGTGTGCACGTTTGTCTTCACCATGGAAAATCATGGCTTTTAAGATTATTTACATTTGCAAAACTCAAGATTGTGTCTGATGAAACACTGCACGCAAGAGTGGTCCAACTGAACCTATTTCTCTAAATATTGAGAAGACAATTCACAATGAAATGCTAAGCTATAATATCATAAGTATAATAAATAGACCAACCTCACTGGCATTGCCAAACTACTAAGGGTCTAGATTGAATTTAGAAATCAGTTTTCTGAAAAGGGTACAATATTATATTGCAGCTTCATAATTTATTTATTCTTTTTGATGGGCCACCAAATTTTGCTTTCTAATGATTAGAGTGGCAAAATTGTGTTTGGGAAAAATCATGGCTTATTCAGTTGCATTTGTCCATAAAAATATTTCAAAATTCCAATTAAGATTGGGACAGAGACAGGACAATTTCTAATCTCCTGAGACCAATTTTATAAAGTTTTCCAAATGAATAACACAGAGTATAACATTCATTGGCAATTTTCAATCATTTTGAATTTTTATATTTAATTGTAACACTATAAGTTTTGAGCTTATGTAAAATTTTGCTAATCTTCAATAGTCATATTTTCACTAATTTCTATTCATGTGTGATTGTCTCCAAATTGCACTGTAAAAGTTATACATTATTTTTCCTAATTTCTCTTTACTCATATTTGGCACATATTTTTAAAATACATATATGATAGTTGTTGTTATTTGTCTTGCAAATGCTAGTCTCTCCTTCTACAGGGGTATCCTTCTTATTTATTATCTGAGAATATGGCCACCTGGAAAAAATGCTATGATATCCGATCCTCATTGCAACTAGGGTATCTGTAAGAAATTAAATTTTGGGCAATGGGTTGTGAACAGAATTGGCATAAGCAACTTCTAGGAAACATCTTTTTAAAAAGTGAGCATGTCCAATTCCTTCTCTTTTCCTCCTTTTTACTAGTTGCAATCAGACATAGTGACTGGAGCTGCTTTGAAAGACACTTAAAATCCAGTGTTTGAGTATGATGACTAAAAAGGTAGACAGTGCTTGAGTGCCTGATAATAATGCAGTCATCATTATCAACCTGGAAAGCTGATGTGGAACTCTATGTGAAAGGGAAATACACTTTAATTTTGATTAAACCAGAGTTTTCTCCACTTCTAGTTATACCAATCCTAAACCCATGTTTTATGATGTATTATTATATACTATAGCCATCTCTATATATTTTTTCTGTCTAGGAGGCAAACTACAAAATAAAAGGATTGTGTGAACACTTAATGTTTAGTCATTGGCTATATTATAGCAAAGAATGAATATTTAAATGCCCTGGAGTATTTTATTAGATTGAATCTGACACATATGAAATTTTTTCTCACCCTTCCAGAAGGGGGATAAGTCCTGAAGACTTTTCTACTCACTTTCACTGCCTTTGCTTTCCACAGATGCTCCTTCACTTTCTACTTCCTCCATTTCTAATTGTTATTTAATTTGCATCACATCATTGATTTTTCCTCTGTCCATTCACTATTATTCTATTTATTTATTTCTACCTTTCCTGGGCTTCCATTATATTTCTTGGTTTGTAGGAACATTGTTCTAGAGTTCGAGGGCATTTTTATTTCTATTGACAAAAGGACCAATCACATCTCAGGTCAAGCAATTTTTGAAAATCTGCTATCACTTCTTTCAAAACTGACTGTGGGAATCCTTGTTTTTCCCCTCTCTCTCCTACATTAATATGTTTGTCTTAAACAATGAATATGCTGAACATCAGAAAGAAAAATAATCTGTATGTTTAAAATGCTTTAAGAGTTTCTAGAAAGTATTAAGGATATTATAAAATAACACCTCTATTCTACTCTTTCAAATACTAGTGATGCTGCTTCTCAATTTAATAATAGAAAACTAATGATTATTTCTAATCATTATGTAATATTGGTTTATATCTTCACATAAAACAATTTACTGTTTCTATACAGCTGAATCTCAGGCCAACAGAATGGAAAGGTGTAAGTATTACAGAAGCATGCTGTTGCAGCAGAGTTTTGAAAATCTTCAAATATTTGAGTCTGGTTTAAAAAAAATCACAGAAGTATAAATCGCATAGTTCTATAAATACGTACCTGACATTTTAAAAAGACAAATTAAAGCAATTTTAATTGCACTCTAAAGCGGAATGTGACTCTTGGAAGGATAAGAACATCAGTAAAATAGCTAATTCTTTGAAATTCAACTTGTTCCATAGAGTATATGTGAAACAGATCTGAATTAAAATACAGTATTCTGACAGTACCAGTCATTAACCTGAAATCAAAATAAGGGAAATACTGCTGCCAGCCATGGCCTTAACATATGATGCTGTTTTCTTCATTTTAAATATTTTTCCTGACAATTCTAAGTTATTTCTCATGAGAAAAGTTGAGTTAAGTCATCCCCAGGAAAGTGAGTCATACCATTTAAACACACAGGAGTACCATTCTGTGGATGAGTAAATGAGATCAGTTCTATTTCCACCATGCCAGATGCTATACATTTTCTGGAAAGGCTCAGGATTTCAGGTCTTTAGTGAGACTTCCCGCTAAGCTGAACATCTGTTCATAATATATTGTACACTTGCTAGAAACCTAAGAATGCTAAAATGATTAGAACATCTTGATTGTGTTTTCCAATAGTATACAGACAAAAGAAGATGTCGAATTGGAGCACTGAGCAAGCAACAAATCAACTCTCAGCCACTATCCAAATAAGTACCATCTTGTTTCCCCACTACTTTCATTTATCAGTTGTTGGAAATGTTTATGAAAATATAATTGAGATATTACTTCAAGAAAATCCCATGCCTTTGTCCCTGAAATAAATGAACGGCCAACGATAAGGATATTTAGAAAAAAAAACAATTTTTATATATGGAAAATCATATCCATCACTTTAAGTGTTTTAATTTCCTTGGCTATTTTGTCTGTATTGTTTCTCTATACCCCTAAAATTATGAAGTAATGAATACAATTAGCATAACCTTATAGGACATATGGAATTGATTGCTTTGTGAAATTGATCTTCCATTTAAACATTCTCTTCTTCCATTAGTTTACATCTGGTCATTTACCAAATTATTTCTTACTTTTTTTAACCAATGACCTTTTATCTCAAAATATTATATTAAAAATGTGTATAGTCTATTGGGAACATTCACACAATTACTGTAATGAGCATAAAAAGTACTCAAGTCAATGTACATTTTTGCAAATAAAAACAATAAGTTCTCTCCTACTGAAACAGTTCCCTTATTAAATCCTCTAGTTTATCCTCTAGATTGAGAAGAACAATAAGAATGCAATTATTCTCTTAGGCAGTACTCAATTAAGCAAATTTGATGCAATTAATTGAATTATATGTGGGGAAATTCTAAAAACCTGAATATCAGGAAAAGTTCATAACATTCTTTTTATTATTATTATACTTTAAGTTATAGGGTACATGTGCACAACGTGCAGATTTCTTACGTATGTATACATGTGCCATGTTGGTGTGCTGCACCCATTAACTCGTTATTTACATTATGTATTTCTCCTAATGCTATCCCACCCCACACCCCCACCCCACGACAGGCCCCGGTGTGTGAAGTTCCCCACCCTGTGTCCAAGTGTTCTAATTGTTCAATTCCTACCTATGAGTGAGAACATGGGGTGTTTGGTTTTCTGTCCTTGCGATAGTTTGCTCAGAATGATGGTTTCCAGCTTCATCCACGTCCCTACAAAGGACATGAAATCATTCTTTTTTATGGCTGCATAGTATTCCATGGTGTATATGTGCCATATTTTCTTAATCCAGTCTATCATTGATGGACATTTGGGTTGGTTCCAAGTCTTTGCTGTTGTGAATAGTGCCATGATAAACATATGTGTGCATGTGTCTTTATAGCAGCATGATTTATAATCCTTTGGGTATATACCCAGTAATGGGATGGCTGGGTCAAATGGTATTTCTAGTTCTAGATCCTTGAGGGATCACCACACTGTCTTCCACAATGATTGAACTAATTTACACTTCCACCAACAGTGTAAAAGTATTCCTATTTCTCCACATCCTCTCCAGCACCTGTTGTTTTCTGACTTTTTAATGATTGCCATTCTAACTGGTGTGAGATGGTATCTCATTGTGGTTTTGATTTGCATTTCTCTGATGGCCAGTGATGATGAGCATTTTTTCATGTATCTTTTGGCTGCATAAATGTCTTCTTTTGAGAAGTGTCTGTTCCTATCCTTCGCCCACTTTTTGATGGGGTTGTTTGATATTTTCTTGTAAATTTGTTTAAGTTCTTTGTAGATTCTGGATAATTAGCCCTTTGTCAGATGGGTAGATTGCAAAAAGTTTCTCCCATTCTGTAGGTTGTCTGTTCACTCTGATGACAGTTTCTTTGGCTGTGCAGAAGCTCTTTAGTTTAATTAGATCCCATTTGTCAATTTTGGCTTTTGTTGCCATTGCTTTCGGTGTTTTAGTCATGAAGTCCTTGCCCATGCCTATGTCCTGAATGGTATTGCCTAGGTTTTCTTCTGGGGTTTTTATGGTTTTAGCTCTAATAATTAAGAGGAAAAGATGGTTACAATTACAGGTGCAGGAGAGAGAAGACTTTTACTAAAAATCATGATCACACTTAGGTTATTATCATTTGATTTTTCATACCATCTTTGAAAATGTGTTTATATCTTCATTTTGAATTTAATTCAGATGCAGAGCATAGTACTTTGAGAACTAAAACTAAGTGCTGGAATTTTCGAGATTTTAAAAAAATAATCGTGATCACATACACAGGGATCAGAATCAGTACCGTGCAAAACTAGGAAATAAGTTTGCCAAAGACCTGTGGAACTCTAGCTTCTCAGACTTAAAAAGCAGAGAGGTTTTTCAATAGTTCTGACCTGATTAGACATGTGAAAATTTTGTCATAGTTTTTATATAATTATAATATTAGATTGCTCAAGGGAAAAAGCGATTTGGTTGGTGAAATCTACTTCGACATCTCAACTTTCAGCATAGTTAGTAGATTATTCTAGTCACCTATAGATGATATGAAAACAAAAAGATATAGTAAAAAAGTTATGTCATAAGACATCTTACTTAAGCTGCTGATTCTCATGAGGTAAATTTAAGAAAATATAGCAGCTGCACCAAATCTCATGAGTTGGTAAAATCTGTGTGTTTTGCATACATCTTTCCAAATGGCCCAATTTGGAGAAATATCTCAGTAATTAGCAGTTAACCAAAAGGGAAAATCTCAAAATAGATTATTCAGACTAATGTACTATCTTCACCAGTTTATTTTGTAATAGGATTTGTATGTTCTATAATCCAAAGCACTGCTGAAAACATACCTAATATATGACCCAATCCATTTACATATCTAAGAGGTATATATACATGTGCATGTGTGTATGTGTGTGCGTATTCCGATTTTGCTATTTTTCAAAAGTAACATAGCTTTTACCTATTGTTTTCATTTATTTCTAATACATCAATTGTTGATAACATGGTTTGAAAAACAATAACTCCAAAAAATCTGAAAATTTTAAATAGATAGCAAAGCAATGTGTTCATAGTTCTTCATTTTTTTAGTTCAACGTTACAATTTTTTTTTGTTTAAGGTTTTTTTTGTTATATTTCCTTCACGAGTATTTAGTTTTATATTGTACAAAAGGAAATCGTGATTCATGTATTCTCTTGGTGTATATTTTTAGAATTCAGATTTCACTTTGAAAAGAGGTAAGATTGAGGTAATTGTTAGTGCTAACGTGATTGTAAGAGAACTTAGCTCCTGTGAAGGTACTAGTGTCTTTTTTTCTCTCTGTGATTCTTATAAGAGAGCACAGAGACACTTACAGATAATATTGTTGGCCTATGCCTATGTTGAGTAGATATGAACAATGGGGGGAAAAAGCCACAAGGAGGGAAACAGATAAATGTACCAACTTTTAAATATTTCACAAAAAATCTCTGGTGTCAGACCTCACTTGACTTTCAATTGGAGTTATTAGAATATGAGAGGACTTTCTAGATTTCCAGGTATTTCTAGATTTTTTTTACAATGCATGTTTCAAAGCCTCTCATAATAAACTTGTGAAAAAAAATTGAGAAATACAAGGTTGGAAGAAAATACTCAAGTTAATCAACCAGACATTTCGTTTTATGAATGGGTCAATGTTATAGCACTATCCTCTTCAGAATTTTTGTCAAAGACTTGGCAGAGACATTAGTGGCATCCTCAAATATGTTTAAGTTGATACAAGGCTGGAAGCGAAGGATTAAAAACACCTTTGGAAATTAGATTGATGGGCCATGTCTAACAAGAACTTTGGTAAAGATAAATGTCAATTTTCACTTAGATCTCAAAATCCGCTAAAACAGTGGAGGAGAGGCAAAACATACCTCCAACTTTTTGAGGTCATAATAGGGAGGATATAAAGCACTGGATGGGAGAATGAAATAAATTACTGTCTTAGGTTTTATTCTACCTCTGAAGTTAAATAATTCTATAATGTATGTATTTTACTCCAGAAATTTGAGGATTGTTTTGAAAGTATTTATGAGTAAAAATGGTTATATCTTTTTGGGCAGATAGAAATCTACTTGTTCCTGAAAAGATTACTCTTGGCTCTCTGGCTGTCTTTAAAATGATTGTGATATATCTAAGCTCAGTGAAAAAAATATAGTTCTAAAAATTCTTCTGAAATTAGAACACTTTAACTATTGTAAGTAGTCAATTCATTTTAATGTTGGAGAAAGAATTTGTCTGCTTTCACCTTTAAGGAACTAGTTCTACTTCACTTAATATTACAGGAGATAGACTGTGTTCCTTTTACTCAAATAGAATAATAGAATAATTTCAAATGTGTATCAAATATAAGGGTATAGTCATAATTTTGGTAGAAGAGATCCTTTTCATGTTATTTTAAAAAGTTATTTTTTAATAAAGCAAGTATTATATTGGCAATAAGATTAGGTGGAAATGGATTTATTACAAATGTTTTTTTTCAAATAAAATTGGTGCTACATTTGGTGTAAAAAAAGTTAAAAAAATGTAACATGGCAATCATATTAATCTTATAAGAACATTCCTCCCAGTGAGGTACCAAGTTTAAAGTTCTTAAATAACCCAATTAAGGACCTTTAAGGAAGAGAAAGAGAAAGAAAGAAAGAAAAAAGAGCCTGGCCAAATGATGACTAATTAGAATGACAGGCGTTCTGAATCATGGGGGAGTCACAGTACCTAAGCAGTAAAAATAGCATCTCATTAGTCTTTTAAACACTATTCCCAGGTTTCTGTGAAATTGATATTTAATCACTTTCCCAGTGTGCAGCAGGCATTTATTACACAGGGAAGACATAGGGAGTGAAAAGTTTACAAAATGTCTGTCAATCTCTTCTCAATTTGAAAAATGATTCATTATAATGGGCCACCAGTGGCAGAGGGACACTAAATAGGAGCCTGTAATTAACTTCCCTTCCTACTTTATTGATGGCATTTGGTGAGTTTTGAGATTAGATGGTGTATCTTGGGGGATGTAACCTATGGAACATGCTGTTCAATACTGTAAACTACATCTAAATCATGTCTACAGCTGTGTTAGTCACAATTCTAGATATTGGTTTTTAGAAATTTGGGGCTAAAGTATCTGGAATCTAAGTTTGCTATTCAGAATAGTGTATGTAGAGAAACTGAAGGAAGAAAATGCATGTTTAAATTTGGGGGCACTTCTGTAAAGAACAAAAATGTACTTTAAGATGATAGAGCCCAACAACTTTCTTTTAAAAATTCAGGCCAGGCATGGTGGCTCATACCTGTAATCCTAGTACTTTGGGAGTCTGAAACAGGTCGATCACTTGAGCCCAGGAGTTTGAGACCAGCCTGAGCAACATGGGGAAACCCCATCTCTATAAAAAAAGAAAATACAAAATTAGCCAGGTGTGGTGGTGCATGCCTGTAGTCCCAGCTACTTGGGAGGCTGAGGCAGGAGGATCATCTTAGCTCAGGGAGGCTAAGGGTGCAATGAGCCATAATCTTGCCACTAAACCAGCCTGGGCAACAAACTAAGACCCTATCTTAAGCAAACAAACAAACAAACAAAATGTCAGTACATTTAATATCTGATTTGTTTCTATCGAGTATTGCTATTCTTTCAGAAGTGTTGAAAAGTATTTTAGTATTGTTAGGTGCTTTAAACAAATTCAAAGTATGATTGTAAGGGCTATTGAATTTTGTCAATAAGTCCTAAATTTAGCTTTCATATACATATATAGAACCAAAAGAAATGTCAATACAGCAACCATCCCTGTCTCCCCCACAAAAAACAAAGATTATTTTTCTGCATTTCATCAAGAAAACAGAAAAGGGCAAACACTCGAAATTCTTTTTTATTTATTTATTTTTTTATTTTTCTTTACATTCTGGGATACATGTGCTGAACGTGCAGGTTTGTTACACAGGTATTTGCCATGGTGGTTTGCTGCACCTATCAACCTGTCATTTAGGTTTTAAGCCCTGCATGCATTAGTTATTTGTCCTAATGCTCTCCCTCTCCTTCCCCGCCACCCGAACACCCTAAATTCTTTCATTCTGTTACTCATTTAACAGCCTTTATTTCATGGACATAGCATGACACATCTTGTTGGTGGTCACTCCGTAAGATGGTAGGAGATCCATTATTTGTTTACAATTTCTATTCTAATAAAATATAGTCATGACATATTTACCATATTTCACATTGGTCAGTTGGTCTATTTTTGGTTTTCCATTCCAAACCCCTCCTGGAAAAATAGTTTGTTTCACTAGTATAGGAGTTTGGTAGGGAGCTCTGGGCCATTTCTTGCGGAAGTATTACAGGGTTGTTGTCCTTAGGGAGCTCATATTCTGATGAAGGTAAAGACATGAGAACTATTATAAAATAATACAATAAATAGTTTTCTAGCATATGCTAAACCTTGGTTAGCAAGTGTTAGGAAAGCACTCAGAGCCAGTCTTCATCAAGGCTAAAAAATAAGTAGTATTAATAAATATATTAAAGTAACTCAAGAATCTTTAAACTTATATTCGTATGTCCAGTAGAATGCATTATTCTGTAAATCAGAAACTGCTTTTGCTAGAGTCACACTAAGTAAAATTCGGTAAATAATGACACTAAAATTTAATTTACTGAAGCAAAATATCAAAACAGACATTTGCCTTGATTAAAAAAACAAGAATTATAAAAGGCGCTTCTGAAAATTGAATTATTACTTGACATCCACACCAAAATTAGTTTTTAATGTTCATATACAATTCAAAATTTAAAAGAAAATATATTGTATTCTATGTATAACTATTCCAACATCTGCAGCAGAATCATAGCATTGTTAAAACCTTCTTTATGCTATCATACATCCTTTACAAATCATGTGCTGAGAGCAAGACCTAAATTTTACAATGTACATTCCAATTTTCTATTAAGTGAGAACCCTCTAAAGACCACAAAGGGGCCAAATTATCTAAAATATTCAAGGTTTATTATATTTCCACTAAATTATCAATTTTGTAAAACAATTAAACAGGGAAAGCCAATTAGTGTAAAAGTGGTCTTTAGAGTATAATCATTAGTTAGAAGCTCGTTTGATAAGGTTAGGCACAAATCTAATAAATTAAACCCCCAGCAGAACCATAATAGAGCCTTAGTGGCAGTTTTTAACAGTACCAGTCTCTAAATAGAAACCGCCAGAAATTAAGGAAATTAAAAAAAAAGAAGTTATTTTTGCCACAATCAACAAAATCTCTGTAGAGTTAGCTATGTCAAGTAAGAATTAGAATAGTTTCTTAATTATGATCACTAGAAATTTATTTGTACTATGAATCAAAATTATTATTAGTTCCAGTTTCTTCCAATAGAGTATCGAGGACTATTGGTTAAATAATTATGAACAGAAGAGGCAAAATACAATAAAGCAAACACTTTGTAACGTTGGAAAAAGTAAAACAAGATTAATAAGGCATACTCATGCAAACCTGATCCACACAGCCATCACTGTACTGTAACATTCCTAGCCTCTGTTAATTATGCCTCATTTATGTTCCGTAAATATTATTTAAGTAAAATAAAGTAAATCAAAAGAGAAAAGAAATGGTGTGTGTGAATATATCTGTTTACATAACATGAACTCACTTAAATGTTAGACCAAAACGTCTGGGTTACTGAGCCATTTTGCATAGGAAGTTAGGCCATTATCACAAAAGAAGACGCAGCCTGAGCAAACCTATTAGCCTATTTGAATAAGTGAAAAGTTACCCACTTTAGAATAGAGTTCTGTTTTTTTAATCACACAAAGTATAAAATAAGGTCATCATAATTTATTTTTATAAACTTTTTTTTGGCCTCAGCTACTTACATTGCACTTAATTGCTATATGAATACACATGAATAAAAACTGTATAGATCATAAAAATTATGTTTTCTGTTCATCATTTCCTTCCATCTTTACAAACTTAGTTCTTTAAATTCTAAAGGACGTAAATAATTCATATGATCAGATAATCTACTCATCAGTACATCCACATTCAAAACAGTACAAATTGGTCATTAGGGAACAGTTGGCTGATTACAATGTCTCTTATACCACCCCACACAAATATGTCCTTCAAGCGGTTATATAAACATTATAAGCAGTTCTTTAGTTCTTAATATTCTTTTAATTTCTCCAATATTTATGGGAATATATTCTAAAATTCACTTTTTAATACTGGTGCAATTTAATCATCTATTTTGATATATTTATTTTCAAGTATCAATCTTTATTTTAAAATATTATGGGTGGATATTTTGTTCCTTTTCACCAAAATATTCTGAAGCTATACCTCATTAATGTAGTTGCATAAATAATCATGCCAGATCCCTCATGTAATTAAGAAATAAAATAAAATGGGCATCTGTTTGTACAAATTAATAATGTGAATGATAAGATGCAGGTTAAAGTTTAACATAGAAAAAATTGGACATGGTGCATGAATACAAAATGAATTATTACATGGCTATGTAATTTTACTGCCACCACTTAGTTAATTATGCTGTATATCAAACTGATAATTAAAGAAGCAAGCTCTTACTTCAGTGTTCCATTCATACAACTATCAATTACTATATACATTTAAAATTGTGATTAGACATAAATCTCACAGCAAGGTGTAATAACAAAATATACTTGGCCTCACTACTTGAGAATTTCACAAATGTACTCTTAAAATACATTTCAAAAGAAATTACAGTATCTCTAGCAGTCATAGCATGATAATTAAAATACATGAATATGGAATAATCTCTTTTAGTTATCTAATGCTGCATAAGAAAGGGCTTCAAAACTGTTGATGAAAAGAGTCAAACTGTAAAATATTTGAAGAGATTTATTTTGAGACAAATATGAGGACTATGATTTGTTACATAGCCCCAGGATGTTCTGAGTGTATGTGCCCAAGGTGGTTGGGTAATAGCTTGGTTTTATATGTTTTAGGAAGGCATAAGCCATCAATCAACACATGTAAGATGCACATTGGTTTATTCTGGAAAGGCAGGATATTTGAAGTGGGGCTTCCAGATCATAGATAAATTCAAAGATTTTCTGATTGACAATTGATTGAAAGAATTGTTATTATCTAAAGCCCTGTAATCAATAAAAAGAAGTGTCTGGGGGTAAGCTAAAGAGTTGTAGAGACTAAGGCTTTTTTTTTTTTTTAATCATGCAGATGAAGCATCTAGGTAACAGGCTTCGGAGAGAATACATTGTAAATATTTTTTACCAGACTTAAAAAGGTACCAGACTCATAACTAATTCTCTCCTGGATTGGAGAAAAGACTTAGAAAGAGAAGAGGAATCTTTACAGAATATGGATTTTCCCCCACAAGAGACAGCTTTGCAGGGTTATTTCAAAATAAGTCAAAAATATATTTTGAGGTAAAAAATGTTGACTTATTTCAGGACCTACTATCTGTCATGTTGGTATCTTATTCCTACAGAGTCTGTTTCATCAGTCTTAAGGTCTGTTTTTAAGTTAATGCTGGTCAGTTTTTCATTAATTCCAAAAGGAGGAGAGTATAATGAGGCTTGCATGACCCCCTCTTTCCCATCATGGCCTGAACTAGTTTTTCAGGTTATCTTTGGAATGCCCTCAGCTAAGAGGAGGGTCCACACACTCAATTGGTTGGGGGACTTAGAACTTTATTTTTGGTTTATAAAACTTAGTGGCTAACAGTACAACTTTTAATTTGTTTCCTTCCAGTTTTACAATTTGGACATCAACAGCTGTGCTCCACATGGCATCAACAGGTTGACTTTACTGAGGTCAACAGTCCACCTCTAATGTGGCCTCTCTCACATTTCTGGAACGTTAGTGCAGGCTGCCAACTGGGGACTCAGCTGAGGCTGCTGTCTAGGAATTTAGGTTATCCTTTTTGTGACATCTCCACTTGGGCAAGCTGGACTGCTTGTAGCATGGGGCATGGGGCCTTGGGGTAGTCAGACTTATTACATGGTGGATAGAATTCCCTAGACCACAAAAACTATAATCTAACAAGCTTCCTTAAAGCTTAGATCCTGAATGGGTGCACCTATGATTCTTCTGCCTTGTGTTAAAGAAGGTCATGAGCCAGCTAAGATTCAATGGGAAGGAACTGCACAGATGTATAAATACAGGGAACCAGTAAAGTAATATTACCTCTCAATAAATAATTTTCTATCTAATTTCCAAAAGCATAAACCAAAATGCTTTTAGTTAGTATAAATTTCATTTTAACTTAAGACAAACACATGTATATGCTCAAATTTGTTTAACACTTTAATATCAGAGTAGCTAAACTTAAATGCCTTTTGTGAAAGCAATATAAAGTCTTAGGGCAGAATTCTATGTATTTCATCCATATTTCCTGTTACTTAAGAAGATGTAGTAATGTTTATGCTCTCTTTATCAGATTAGGAATTCACTCATAGCAAGATTTCTCAAATTCTATTTCCGCAATATATAATACTCTTTGGGTTCATCAAAAGCAATAGTAATGTGGAGTTAAGTCCTTTTGTTAAAAGGGCTTTGATTTCATGTAGTAGTAGATGGTAAAATAGTAATGATAATTCAAACTACTGATTTGTGATAGTTGTTTTTAAGGCTAATTGAAATATAACCAAATTTCCCAATGACAAATTTACTTTTTAAATTAATATTAGATACATATTGGAAGCTAATTTTTGTTTATTTAAGTCCCTCATGCTATCATTTACTGAACAGTACACCAAAGTTATAGTTTCTAATCGTAAACCAAAAATAAAATTCTAAGCCCCCCAACCATCTGAATGGATCTCTCCTCTTAGCCAAGAGCATTGCAAAGTTAACCTGAAAAACTAGTTCAGGCCATTGTGGGAAGGGGAGCCTGACGTGCCTCATTATACCCTTCACCCTTTTGGAATTACTGATAGCAGGGAGTGGTTTCCATTATGTGTTTCTCTAATGGTAGTGCTGTCCAATATTCTATACATACATTAGAAAATTTAGTTTAATTCCATAATTAAAACACTTTCTCACAGAAATAAACTGGCTTTATGTAAAATAATCTGTATTGTCTAACACTACATAAATAATAAGCTGAGTAATGTATTACATAATTAAAGACAAACAGATACAGTTAAGAAAATTCTATCATTATCTCTTATAAATAACAACCTCGTGATCTTGAATTTTGATGCTTCTAAGGACAGATTACCATCACAAAGTGGCTGGCAAAACAAATTTCACTGAAAGCATCTCACAGTTGACTCTTGAACAACATGGAGGTTAGGGGCACCAACACCCTGCACAGTCAAAAATCTTTGGACTTCTCAAAAACTTAACTACAAATCGTTATTGTTGACCGAAAGCCTTACCAATAATTTAGTCAATTAGTACACTTTTTATATTATATATATTACATATTTCATTCTTACATAAAGTAAGGTAAAGAAAATGTTATTAAGAAAATCATAAAGAAGATAAATATATTTAGTAATCATTAAGTGAAAGAGGATAATTATAAAGGTCTTCATCTTTGTCATCTTCACATTGACTAGGCTAAAGAGAAGGAGTAAGATGAGGGGTTGTTCTTGCTGTCTCAGGGTGGCAAAGACAAAAGAAAATCCACATATAATTAGACCTACTCAGTTCAAACCTGTATTTTTAAGAATCAGGCCAGGTACGGTGGCTTACACCTGTAATCTAGTACTTTGGGAGGCTGAGGTGGGCAGATCACCTGAGGTCAGGATTTCAAGACCACCCTGGCCAGCATGGTGAAACTTTGTCTCTACTAAAAATACAAAAATTAGCTGGGTGCAGTGGTGCATGCCTGTAATCCCAGCTACTCAGGAGGCAGAGGCAGGAGAATCCCTTGAACTCAGGAGGCAGAGGTTTCAGTGAGCCAAGAACATGCCACTGCACTCCCGCCTGGGTGACAGAAAGAGATTCTGTCTCAAAAAAAAAAAAAGAAGAAGAAAGAAAAAAAAGGAACCAACTGTATTTGCATTTAAAAACACAATTATTGTTTTGGGTATTGCTCTACACAATTTAAAAATATTTGAAAAATTATATCTATAGTTTGAAAAAATGGTTGGGTACTATGCTTAAACTTTACCCCACTCCATTCCTCCCCCCATAGTAGGCTCCAGTGTCTACTGTTGCCATCTTCATGTTCATGAGTACCCAAAATTTAGTTCCCACTTATAAGTGAGAAAATGTGGTTATTTGTTTTCTATTCCTGTGTAATTTGCTTAGGATTATGGCCTCCAGCTGCACCCATTATAAAGCTCCAAAATAATCTCCTTTGACTCTGGATCTCATATCTGGGATGCATTGCTGCAGGGGGTAGGCTCCCAAAGCCTTTGGCAGCTCCACCCCTATAGTTTTGCAGTGTTTGGCCCTCAAGGTTGCTCTCACATGTTAGTGTTGATAGTTTGCTACTTTTCCAGGTGCAGGGTGCAAACGGCTGATGGATCTACCATTCTCTGACGTGGAAGACAGTGGCCCCCTTTGCATAGCTCCACTATGCAGTACCTTAGTGGGGGCTCTGTGTGGGGGCTCCAACTCCACATTTCCCCTTGGCACTGCCCTAGTTGAAGTTCTCTGTGAGCACTCTGCCCCCACAGCAGGCTTCTTCCTGGGTACTCAGGTTTTTCCATACATATTTGGAAATCTAGGCAGAGTACCAAGCCTCAATCAGTCTTGCACTCTGTGCAACCACAGGCTTAACACCATATGGTAGCCACCAAGCTTATGATAACGTGTGTTCTCTAGGGCAGCAACACAAGCAGTATATGGGATACTTTGAGCCTAGGCTGGAGCCAGAACAGCCAAGTTGCAGGAAGCAGTGTCCTGAAGCTATTTAGGGCAGTGGGGCCATGGCTCCCAGCACACAAAACCAATCAGTCCTCCTAGGCCTCAAGGCTTATGATGGAAGGGGCTGCTGTGAAGATCTCTGAAATGCCTCCAAGGCCCTTTTTTCCCATTTTCTTGAATATCAGCACTTGGCTCCATTTTACTTATACAAACCTCTCTAGCAAATGGTTACCCCATAGCCTGCTTAAATTCCTCTTCCCAAAAAGCTTTTTCTTTCTCTGGCATATTGCTAGGCTGCAAATTTTCCAAATGTTTGTACTCTGCTTCCCTTTTAAATATAAAGTCCAACTTTAAGTCTTTTCTTTGCTCCCACAGGTGAGCATAAGCTCTTAGAAGCAACCAGATTACCTCTTGAATGCTTTGCTGCTTAGCACTTTTTTTTGCCGAATACATTCTGAAGTTCAAACTTCCACAGATCCCTAGGGCGTGAAAAAAAATGCAACCAAGTTCTCTGCTAAAGCATAACAAATATGACCTTTGCTCCAGTTTCCAATAAGTTTGTCATTTCCATCTAAGACCTCATCAGCCTGAACACTGTTCACATTACTATCAGCATTTAGGTCACATCCATTTAACCAGTCTTCAAGAAGTTCCAACTTTTCCTTATCTTCCTGTCTTATTCTAAATCCTCCAAACCTTTCCAACTTATGCCTGTTACTCAGTTCCAAAGTCATTTCCACATTTTCAGGTATTTTTATAGCAATGCCCAGCTCCTTGATACCAATTTTCTGTATTAGGCCATTCTTTCATTGCTATAAAGAAATACCTGAGACTGGGTAATTTATTTTAAAAAGAGGGAGGTTTAATTGGCTCACAGTTTTTCAGGCTTTACAGGAAGTATGGTGTTAGCATCTGCTCAGCTTCTGGGGAGGCCTCGGGGAGCTTTTAATCATAGCAGAAGGTAAAGCAGGAGTAAGTGAAAGAAAGGAGGGGAGATTGAGGTGCCACACATTTTTAAATTATCAGGTCTCACAATAACTCACTCATTATCATGAGGACAGTTTTAAGGAGACAACGCTCAAACATTTATGAAAACTTCAACTCCATGATCCAATTACCTGCCACAAGGCCTCACCTCTAATACTGGGTATTACAATTAAACATGTGATATGGGTGGGGATAAAAATACAAACTATACCAAATGTTATTGCTGTATAGAAATTTTACTTACTTTTGTATATTGTTTTTTTATCCTGAAACTTTGCTAAAATTGTTTATCAGTTCTAATAGTCTTCTGGCAGAGTCCTTATGGTTTTCAAGTATAGAATCATTGTTAGTGAAGAGAGATAGTTTGAATTTCTCTTATCCTGTTTGGATTCCGTTTATTTCTTTTTCTTGCCTGATTTCTCTGGCTAGCACTTTCAATACTTTGTTGAATAGGAGTGGTGAGAGTGGGCATCTTTGTCTTGTTTTAGTTCTAAAGGAGAATGCTTACAGTTTTTGCCAATTTGTGATGTTGGCAGTGGGTTTGCCATAGATGGCTCTTATTATTTTGAGGTATGTTTCATCAATGTCTAGTTTCTTAAGGGTTTTTATTTTCATGAAGGGATGTTGAATTTTATTGAAAGCTCTTGCCACATCTATTAAGATAAACAGATGGTTTTTGTATTTAATTCTATTCATGTGGTGAATCACATTTATTAATTTGCACGTGTTGAAACAACCTTGCATCCCAGAAACAAAGCCTATTTAATCATGGTGAATTTACTTTTTTATGTGCTGTTGAATTCAGTTTTCTGATATTTTATTAAGGATTTTTGCATCTATGTTTATCAGGGCTACTGGCCTGTAGTTTTCTTTTTTCCTTGTGCTTCTGCTAAAGGTTACTCAGAAGCAAGTTGTTTGATTTCCATGTACTTGTGTGATATAGAGACATCTTCTTGGCATTTATTTTATTTGTATCCTACTGTGGTGTGAGAAGATAGTTGGTATGATTTTGATTTTTAAAAGATTTATTGAGACTTGCTTTATGGCAAAGCATGTACTCGATCTTGGGGTACGTTTGATGTGCAAGGGAGAAGAATATATATTATGTGATTGATGGGTGGAACATTCTGCAGATATGCATTAGGTCCAATTGGTCAAGTGTCAAGATTAAGTTCCGAATTTCTTTCTTAGTTTTTTATCTCAAAGATCTGTCCAATGTTGTCAATGGGGTGACACTATTATTGTGTGGCTGTATACATTTTTTCATAGGTCTAGAAGTACTTGTTTTATATATCTTGATGCTCCATTGTTGAGTGTACATATATTTAGGAGAGTTAAGACTTCTTGTTGAATTGAACTCTTTATCATTACATAATGCCCATCTTTTTTTTAAAACTGTTGTTGGTTTAAAATCTGTTTTATCTGATATAAGAATAGCAACAGAAATTGGACCCATTTCTTACACCTTACACAAAAATTAACTCAAGATGGATTAAAGACTTAAACTTAAGACCTAAAACCATAAAACCCTAGAAGAAAACCTAGGCAATACCATTCAGAAAATAGGCATGGGCAAAGCCTTCATGACTTAAACACCAAAAGCAATGGCAACAAAAGCCAAAATTGGCAAATGGGATCTATTTAAACTAAAGAGCTTCTGCACAGCAAAAGAAACTATCATCAGAGTGAATAGGCAACCTACAGAATGAGAGAATATTTTTGCAATCTATCCATATGACAAAGAGCTAATATCCAGAATCTAAAAGAACTTAAACAAATTTACAAGAAAAAACAACCCCATCAAAAAGTGGGCAAATGATATGAACAGGCACTTCTCCAAAGAAGATATTTATGCAGCCAACAGACACATGAAAAAATGCTCATCAACACTGGTCATCAGAGAAATGCAAATCAAAACCACAGTGAGATACCATCTCATGCTAGTTAGAATGGCAATCATTAAAAAGTCAGGAAACATCAAATGGTGGAGAGAATGTGGAGAAATAGGAATGCTTTTACACTGTTGGTAGGAGTGCAAATTAGTTCAACCGTTGTGGAAGACAGTGTGGTGATTCCTCAAGGATCTAGAACCAGAAATACCATTTAACCCAGTAATCCCATTACTGGGTATATACCCAAAGGATTATAAATTACTCTACTGTAAAGACACATGCACACATATGTTTATTGTGGCACTGTTCACAATAGCAAAGACTTGGAACCAACCAAATGATAGACTGAATAAAGAAAATGTGGCACATATGCATCATGGAATGCAGCCATGAAAAAGAATGAGTTCATGTCCTTTGCAGGGACATGGATTAAGCTGGAAACCATCATTCTCAGCAAAGTAACACAGGAACAGAAAACCAAACACCACATGTACTCACTCATAAGTGGGAGCTGCACAATGAGAACACATGGACACAGGGAGGGGAACATCACACACTGGGGCCTGCTGGTGGGTGGGGGGCTAGGTGAGGGATGTCATTAGGAGAAATACCTAATGCAGATGATGGGTTGATGGGTGCAGCAATCCACCATGGCACGTTTATACCTATGTAACAAACCTGCACGTTCTGCACATGAATCCCAGAACTTAAAGAATAATAATAGTAAAAAAGAATAGCAACGTCTGCTCTGAGACAGCAGATTATATTTTATCCAGCTTTCCACTGTGTGCCTTTTAAGTGGAACACTTAAGCCATCTACATTCAAAGCTAAGTGGGAGCAATTAGGCCAGTTACATTCAAGGTTAATATGTGAGGTTTGGGTCCCATCGTGAAATTTTTAGCTAGTTGCTTTGTAGTTTCTATCTTATGCTTGCTTGGTAGGGTCTGTGTGCTACATACTTATGTGTGTTTTTGTGGTAGTAGGTATGGTTCTTTTGTTTCTATGCCTAGAACTCCCTCAATGATTTCTTGCAAAGCTCATTTAGGGGTAATGAATTCTCTTAGCCCTTACTTATCTGGAAAAGATTCTTTTTCTCCTTCATTTTTGAAGCGTGGTTTGGCAGCATATAACTTTGTTGGAATTTCTTTTTCTTAAGAATGCTAAAAATCGTCCCCCAATCTCTCCTGGTTGGTAAGGTTTATGCTGAGAAATCCACTGTTAGACTGATGGGGTTCCCTCTGTAGATGACCTGTCCTTTTTCGCTAGCTGCCTTTAAGAGCTTTTCCTTAGCACATGGAGAGTCTAGTGACTATATGTCTTTGTGATGTTCATTTTGTAAAGTATCTGGCAGATGTTCTCTGGATTTCTCATATCTGAATGTCTACTTTTCTAGCAAAATCAGGACAATTTTGTTAATTATTCTCTCATTTATATTTTCCAGATTGTTTATTTTATCTCATTCTCTTTCAGGATTGCCAATAATTCACAGATTTTGTTGCTTTATATAACCCCATATATCTCAAAGGCGGTTCATGTTTTATAATTCATTTTTTTTCATTTTTGTCTGACTTAGTTAAAAAGACCAGTCTTCAAGCTCTGAAATTTCTTCTTATGCTTGGTCCAGTCTATTGGTAACGCTTCCAATTTTATTTTGAAATTCTTTAAGTGAGATTTTTAATTTCAGAAGGTCTGATTGATTTCTTTTTACCATGGTTATCTCTTTTTTCATTTCCTGGATTCCTTTAGAAGTTTCTTTGTCTTAATTTGTAACCTTGGATTTCATTGAGCTACCTTGCAATTCATGCTTTCATTTTTTTTATTTATGTATTTATTTTATTTTTTTATTTTTTTAGACAGAGTCTTGCTCTGTTACCCAGGCTGGAGTTTAGTGGTGATCTTGGCTCACTGCAACCTGCACCTCCTGGACTCAAGCAATTCTCCTGCCTCGGCCTCATGAGTTGCTGGGACTACACACCACGCCCAGCTAACTTGTGTATCTTCAGCAGAGATGGGGTTTCACTATGTTGTCCAGGTTGATCTTGAACTCCTAACCTCAAATAATCATCCCACCTCAGCATCCCAAAGTGCTGGGATTACAGACGTGAGCTACTGTGCTTGGCCCATGCTTTGAATTCTTTATCTGTCATTTCTAAGTTTCTATTTCAGTCAGGGACCATTACTAGAGAGCTAGTGAAATCCTGTGGTGGTCACTACATTCAGATTTTTCATGGTGCCAGAATTCTTACACTGGTTACTTCTCATACTGAGATGCTGGCACTTCTAAATTTTGTAATTATTTTCCTGTGGGTAAGATTTTTCTTTTTCTTTCTTTCCCTGTATTATTGTTATTATTATTATTATTATTATTATTATTATTATTATTCCTTTCTCTCCCCTCCCTCAGGGGTTTGACTATAGAGAATACTGGGTAAGGTGTTTTGGCTTTGCTTCTGTAGCCCTATGCACTTCTTTTAGCAGGCTTTACATTGGGTTGTGGAGTGCAACCTAGAAATCTGCAGAAAGCTGGCTGCAGCCAATGTGTCTGGGTATATCCTTGATCCTTGTTTACTAGCAGAAGCTCTTTTGCTTAAGGTAACAGGCTGATTTGTGGAATGTATAGTGGTCTGAGCTCCTTGTTCAGCCCTGTCGGGTAGGAACCATGAAGGGCAGGGCCAGACTGGGTAGGTCCCTCTACAGGTTCCCTGATGGTAGGCACCGGTACCAGCACCAAGAGAAAATCTATTAATAGTAGGAAACCACCAGTGGGCAGCACCCAGAGGTGTGAAGCAGGGGATCCTCCTCATTCCCAAGTTCTCTGCAAAGGGAGGGGGTGACCTATACTCTCAATCCAGGGAGTTGGTGCTACAGATGCCTGGAGATTTGCCTGGGCATGGGCATGGGCCCATGGATCTTGGGCCCCCTGCACCAAGATCTCTGCACAGGAGAGGTGGGGTGACTCACACTGCTGAATCAGGCAAGTAGGTGCGCTGAATGCCTCTAGATTTGCCTATGTGTAGAGCAGAGAGGGCCTCCCTGCATCATAGTCTTTGCCCAGGAAGGGTCTGGGAGCTCAGGCTGCTGAACCAGGCAAGTGGGTGTTCCAAATGCCTGGAGATCTACCTGGACATGGAGCAGATAGAGCCCAGCTGCACCAAGATCTATGTCAAGGAAGCATGAGACAGCTCAGGCTGCTGAACCAGGCAAGTGGATGCTCCAAATGCCTGGATTTCTGCCTAAGGGTAGAGCTGAGAGGGCCTTCATGCACCACAATATCAGGAGATCGAGCAGGCTGGGGCACCAAGCAACAGGGTGTGGACCCAGTTTTAGAGTGCTAAGCTGTCCCTGGCTACAAGTCCTGCTGCCTAGGAGAAAATGCAGCTGTAGCAGTACTTCTCTGGAGCCCCTAGAGAATTTGCTTGGTATGTATAAGGAAGGGCACTTTGATATTCACAGAAACTATTAAGAAATTGGTCCTAAAGATCTAGAAAACAGAATTCATCAAGGCAGCTGCCCTCCAAGGAAGCTAACCACAGATGATAGCTTCCTCTGCCTTCCATATTTCCTCACCTGGCTGACCAGAACACTGTATGCTGAATAACCCTTGCCTTCAAACTGTTTGAACACAGAGATTAAGTACTTCTGATAAGGCTAAAGAATTAACATAAGACCAAGGAATAAATCGATAAAAGACATTCTCAGAAGGTATTTATGAAAAACAAGAAACTCCACATTTGCCCTTTATAACCACAGCTAACCTCTACAAATCTCCAGTGCAAGATGACCTTATCTAACCCCAATTTCTCTAATTCATTCTTATCAGTGTCCTACTTCTTGATCCTGTGACCTATACTGGTCTTGTCTCAAACAGGCAAGAAATATTGGTAATAGAATTATGAATAAATTAAATGAATAAATGCAGCTTATCTACAATATTAAATTGTTTATGTATCCATATTTTAAAAATGGAAACTCATTTCTTTTTGTTTCTAATAAAAGTAATATGTGTTTATTCATTGAAAATATGTATAGAAGTTTAAGACCTCTCATAATCTTACCCTGTAACTTATCTCTTTAACTCCTAAAACAAATTAATTTGGGCATGTAACTTATAAACACAAAGGCACATATACACACACGCTACAGTGCTTATTTAACTTAATACATATGCTTTGAATATTTTAACGGCTGAATTGTTTACTACTGCCTTCATTCACTATATTTTTAAAGCAATTTAGTGTACATTTAAAGCATAGATTATTTGATCAATCTGACAAGCATTTTTTTCTGCCTGCAATTGCTTTTTTACTGTTGCAGAAATTACTTGTAAACATCTTAGGGCATACATATTTACACATTTCTATTTTGTTCTCATTTAATTTGTATACATATTGTTAAATTGTTCTTTTAAATTGACATATCAATTTACATTATGGAGTCTCGCTCTGTCGCCTAGGCTGGAGTGCAGTGATGCTATCTCAGCTCACTGCAAGCTCTGCTTCCCGGGTTCACGCCATTCTCCTGCCTCAGCCTCCTGAGTAGCTGGGACTACAGGCGCCCGCCACTATGCCCGGCTAATTTTTTTGTATTTTTAGTAGAGACGGGGTTTCACCGTGTTAGCCAGGATGGTCTCTATCTCCTGACCTCGTGATCCGCCCGCCTCGGCCTCCCAAAGTGCTGGGATTACAGGCATGAGCCACCGCACCTGGCCTCCGTTACTATTATTTTCAAGGTGGTATGTACTGACACCTTTACATATCAGGGGATACTAATCAATTTTTAAAATATTTTAATATTTTCTTGCTCATTTCAGTAGGATTTTGAATGTCATAGGAAATACAGAAATAAATAATTGATATCCCAGAACTACAAGTCAGGAGAAACATTTAGTACACTAATTTGAAGTATTTTTATAATTTTCATTTGTTATTTAAAAAGAAAATTACAGCTGTGTCTAGTGGCTTGCACCTGTAATCCCAGCACTGTGGGAGGCCAAGGCATAAGGCTTGTTGAGTCCAGGAGTTGAAGACCAGCCTGGTCAACATGGCAAGACTCCATCTTTACAAAGAAAGAAAGAAAAAAAAAAACAGAAAGAAAACTAGCCAGGCAGGTATGGTGCACTCCTGCAGTCCTAGTTACTCGAAGGCTGAGGTAGGAGAATTCCTTGAGCCCAGCCGGGAGGTTGAGGTTGCCATGAGCTGTGATCACACTATTGTACTCCAGCTTGGGGGACAGAGTAAGACCCTATCTCTAAAAAAATATAGTAAGTTAGAAATGTTTTATTCTATAAAAATATATTTTATTTTATAGATTTGCTAAAGAACACTAATCCTCTAAAGTAAAAAGAACACAGAAATTTCTAGTAGTCATACCTTTTTAAAATATTTGTCAGGTTTTACAAATAATTTTAATATATAGAAAATCAGAATATCAAAATACTTGACATAAAATGGAAATTTCATTATATATGTGTGTATTACACACAAATATATTGTGTATGTGTGTATTACACACAAATATATTGTATATGTGTGTAATACACACATATATATTGTATATGTGTGTATTACACACATATATATTGTATATGTGTGTATTACACACATATATATTGTATATGTGTGTATTACACACATATATATTGTATATGTGTGTATTATATTTATTTGCATACATCTCAGCTATAAACTGAAATCGAGATAAGGAAGTCCTATCACATTGTTACTGGCATGTCTATGCTTAGGGTAGAAGACTGTTAACTGAAGGCAAATACAAACATGCTCTAACTTAAGAACACAATACAATAGCTTTGGTGAGTTAAGCTCTTTTTATTCCAAAGCAAATGCTAATGAAAAGTTCCATTAGGAAAGAGTTGCCAAGGGGAGAAAGAAACAAGTCAAATACAAAGTTAGAGAAAAGGGTGATTCTGTATGGTGCCTCAGATCAGACTTCAGCCATTCCTTCTTTCTGCTCACCACTAAGAAGCCCCAGTAAGCTGCTTCCATGGTAAATCTGGACCCTGCGATAGCAGAAACAGGTGTTTCTGAATTGCCTTTCTACTTTCCTATAGACAGATCACTGCCATTTCTCTCTCTCTCTCTCTCTCTCTCTATATATATATATATGCATATATACATAAATAGATATATGTACATATATACAGATATTTGTACATATGTATATGTACAGATATTTGTACATATGTATATGTATCTATTTATGTATATATGCACTTAATTTCATATGTATATATCTGTAAGTTCACTGACCCTGAAGATATTGCAGGTTTGGTTCCAGACTGCTGTAATAAAGTGCCCCACAAATTTTTATACTTATATTATAAAAAATATATTTGTATATTTATATAAACATATGCAAACAGATATTTGTACATATGTATATATGCCTATTTATGTATATATGCACTTATTTAAATATGTACATATTTGTAAGTTCAGACAGACCTTGGAGATATTGCAGGTTTGGTTCCACACTGCCATAACAAAGTGAATCACAAATTTTTATATTATATTTATATTATAAAAATATACACTTATACATATATAAACACAGTTATTTGTGCCTATGTATATGTATCTATTTATGTCTATATGCGCTTATGTATATATGTATGTATTTGTAAATTCACACAGACCTTGGAGATATTGCAGGTTTGGTCCCAGACTGCCATAATAAAATGACTCACAAATTTTTGGGTTTCCCAATGCGTATAAAAGTTAGGCTTACACTATACTATAGTCTATTAAGTGTGCAATAGCATTATGCCTAAAGGTCAATGTACACACCTTAATTTAAAAATATTTTATTGCTAAAAAATTCTAACAATCTTCTGAGCCTTCAGAGAGTCATAATCTTCTTGCTAGTAGACAGTCTTGCCTCGATGTTGATGGTTGCTGACTGATCAGCATGGTGGTCACTGCAAGTTGAGATAGTTGTGGCAATTTTTTAAGATTATGAAGTTTACCACACTTATTGACTCTGTTTCACAAAGGATTTCTCTGTAGCCTGAGATGCTGTTTGATAGCATTTTACCCAAAGAAGAACTTCTTTCAAAATCAGAGTAAATCTTAAACCCTGCCACTGGTTTATCAACTGTTGTCATTTTAACAATGTTCACAGCATCTTCACCAGAACTAGAATTCAGCTCAAAAGAACCATGTTCTTTGCTTGTTCATTAAAAGAAACTCCTCTGTTAAAGTTTTTTCATGAAAGTGTAGCAATTCAGTCACATCAGGCCCCACTTGTAATTCTACTTCTCTTGCAATTTTTACCACATTTGCAGTGACTTCCTACACTGAATATTGAACCACTCAGAGCCATCCATGAAAGGTAAAATCAGTTTCTTTCACATTTCCAATAATGTTTATATTTTGACCTTCTCCCTTGAATCACAAGTGTTCTTCACGGCATCTATTGTGGTGAATCCTTTCCAAAAGATTTTCAATTTACTTTGCCCAGATCTGTCAGAAGAATCACTATCTATGGCAGCTGTAGCCTTGTGAAATGTATTTCTTATATAATAAGACTTGAAAGTCAAAGTTACTTCTTGATCCATGGGCTGCAGAGTGATAAGAGGCATGAAAAAAAAAAACTTTAATCTCTTTGTACATCTCCATTGGAGCTCTGGGGTGCATTTTCAATGAGCAGTCATATTTTGAAAGGCACCTTTTTTCTGAGCAGTAGGTCTCAACAGTGGACTTAAATATCTAGTAAAACATGCTATCAACAGATATGCCATTATCTAGACTTGTTCCATTTGTAGGGCATAGGAAGAGCAGATTTAACAGTATTAAAGGGCCCTAGGATTTTTAAAATGGTAAATGAGCATTGACTTCAACTTAGTCACCAGAATCATTAGCTCCTAAAAAGAGTTAGCCTGTCCTTCAAAGGTTTGAAGGTTTGAAGCCAGGCGTTGACTTCTCTCTAGCTATAAAGTCCTAGATGGAACCTTCTTCCAATAAAAGGCTGTTTAGTCTATATTTAAAATCTCTCATTTAGTGTAGCCACTTTCATCCATCATCTTAGCTAGACCATCTAGAAAACTGGCTGAAACTTCCACATCAGCACTTCACTTTGCACTTTTTTTTTTTTTTTTTTTTGAGACTGAGTCTCGCTCGTCCCACAGGCTGGAGTGCAGTGGAGTGATCTCGGCTCACTGCAAGCTCCGCCTCCCAGGTTCATGCCATTCTCCTGCCTCAGCCTCCCAAGTAGCTGGGACTACAGGTGCCCGCCACCACACCCGGCTAATTTTTTGTATTTTTAGTAGAGACGGGGTTTCACTGTGTTAGCCAGGATGGTCTCGATCTCCTGACCTCGTTGTGATCTGACCACCTCGGCCTCCCAAAGTGCTGGGATTACAGGCGTGAGCCACTATGCCAGGCCCACTTTGCACTTTTATGTTACAGCGATGCCTCCTTTCCTTCAACCTCTGCTATATTCAAAATTTTCATCTGCCACTTATTCACCTCTCTTAGCTTTCACAGAATTAAAGAGAGTTAGGGTCTTGCTGTGGATCAGGCTTTGGCTTAGGGGAATTTTGAAGCTGGTCTGATCTTCTATCCAGACCATTAAAACTTTCTTCACATCAGCAATAAGGTTGTTACACTTTCTGAACACTCACTTGTTCACTGTAGTACCACTTTTAATTTCCTTTAAGAGCTCTTTCTTTGCATGCACAACTTGGTTAACTTTTTGGTAGTAGAGTCTTAGTTTTTAGCCTGTGTCAGCTTTCAACATATCTTCCCCACCAAGCTTAATTTTTGTAACTTTTCATTTAAATCGAGAGACTTGCAACTCTTCTTTTCACTTGAACACTTGGAGGCCATTGTATGGTTATTAATTGAACAAATTTTAATATTGTTGTGTATAAGGGAACAGGGAAGCCGAAGGAAGAGAGATATATAGCATTGTACACAATGTTATCTAAAGAAAAATTGTTTTTGATTATAAAAACTTCCTCTTTAGTCAAGGCTTTTAACATGGAGCAGATTTTTTGAATAAAATGGAAAGTTTCCAGCACATTGAAATGTGTATTGAAACATCTTACGTTTTTAGATAAAAATTTGTATTTATTTTCATATTATCATTAAATTTTAAATGATCATTGCATTTTTATTTAAAAAAATACTTTAAAGTTTGAGGGAGAGAAGAGAGAATGAACACTGCTTTCCTGTAATAGTATTTGGACAGCTACCATTTAATAGCTTACAGCCACTTGGCCTTTCTCTCACAGAATGGCAGATTGTTTCTGTGAGATTAGAAACCAAAACAACAACAAAAAACTATGTAATTCACATTTCATAAATTTATTTTATTATGTAATATATATTTAATATAATTAAATTAGAATTACATATATAAATATATTTAACTTCAGTATTCAAAATAAGAATTATTATATCTTTGCACAATATATTCATCTAGTAGCCTCACGCTCACTCTTTTAAACCACTACTTGGTTTAACTTTATATGTTTTTGCTGTCATGCAAACAGTTTTCTATAATCAAAAGGCAAATGTTCAACTTTGCCACGCTTATTCTTCTGGTTCAGTCCTTAAAAAAAAAAAACAACAAGAATACAAGGCATGTTTCTGCCTACTTATTGCTGGACACGTTATTAAGTGACTATCCAGATTCACTTCTGTTAGAGGCAATGTTGTTATTTTTAGGAAGCTGGAAAAGATAACTATAAACAATTGCAACTAATGAAAAATAGTAGTTGGCTGAGCATGGTGGCTCATGCCTGAAATCCCAGCACTTTGGAAGATCGACGAGGGAGAATCACTTAAGCCCAGGAGATCAATACCAGCCTGGGCATATAGTGAGACTACGTCTCTACAAAAAATTTTAAAAACTGGCCAAGTGTAGTGGTGTGTGCCTGTAGTCCTAGCTACTTGGTAAGCTGAGGTGGAAGAATTGCTTGAGCACAGAAGGCGGAGGTTGGAGTAAGGCATTTAGCCAAGATTGCAACACTGAACTTCACCCTGGGTGACTGAGATCTTGTCAAAAACCAAAAAACAAACAAACAAACAAAAGTAGTACTGGAAAAAGAGAAGGAGAGCTGTTCTATGTGGCTAGACATGCTCTTTACACATTAGCATCTTTTGCAATTCCTTACCTAGATCATTAAATAAATACATAATTTATTTAATGCATTGATGTTTATTAAAATTTTAATACATATTAAGATGGTTTCACTACAGGTATTACCGATAATAGATACTTCAACACAGGTTCAGAAAATCTGCAATGCATGTCTTCAAACTAGTAAATTTTATTCCTTACCACTCTTGTCAGCATAATCTCTTTATTGCCACCAAGAGTCTTGGATCTAGGTCAGTCAGAATGTAGCAAAGGGATGTCAGAGCTATTGTGGTCAGTGAGCAGACATTAAACAGGAAGTAAATAAGATATTTGTCATATAAATCTATACATAATATAGGCATATATTTTCCATTAATTCATATTCATTCAGATACTAACATGAATTGAGCAAGACTCTGCCTCTTGCATATAATACATGTGTTCTAAAGACAATGGGCAGATTGGAGTTGGAATATACCAGCAAATGTAATCATTCTAAATTAGTGACCTGGGGGATTGGGCATGAATCCTAAACACAGTATGAGAAATTATTACTCTGTAGTAAAGGTTTCAATAATACATTATACACATTTCACCACTCAAAACACCAAAGGAAATCTGTATACAAAGCAGCAACATAGTTAATACTGTTTCCCTATTAACTTTATGATGCATAATACTTATATAATGCTGTGAAAATGCTCACTTACAATGAAGGATAATGACTACAATAACACTTTATTCAATGCTTTAATTTGTCCCATGAATCATCCAGGCCTATATAATTGCATTGGTAATATGACACTATTGTATAAACAGGTCTTGTGCAAATGGAATGGGTCCTTCCTAACTGGGCCATGGTAAGCACTTCTATGAAAAGATTTGCTAGGTAATTTTACCTGAATGTATCTGCTCTCTCACAGAATTTATTTTTTTCTTATTTTGTAAATCTATACATAGACTGAAACTTGATTGTCCTACAACACTAAAATAAGATTGAGGAAGGTTTGCTGGGTTTTCAAGTGCTGTATTGATTCCTAGAAAATATTTATTTCTATGCATTAATAGTTTTATGCTACCTACTGTGGATATTATATCTACTTCTCCTCATACTTAAGTGACGATGAGGCATTATAATTAAATAATCAAATGTGAGCTATATTTAGTTATGTAACAAGTTAATGAAATATTTCATGTAAATGAGTGGCTAGATGGAGAAGTTTTTGAAAGATCAATGGGGATTGTGATGATTATGGAATATATATCAACAATGAAATGAGTATAATGCTGATTTTCACTACAGAGAATGGTAATGCAATTATGACCAATAATATAAAAACATGTTTAAAATTATCTAAAAGATATGTTTTATCCTTAAAATGCAATAAGGAAAGGGTAAAATATGCCCTATTTGAATCCCTGTCAAAAATTCAGAAAATTATCAGAAACAAATATACAGAAACAGGCTAAGATAAATTAAACTTCTATAGACTCTGAAAAATTATAGAGTTTTTCAAAAGGCAACAGATTTTCTTATTCTTTTTTCTTGTTTTTAAATGCCTAATCTTTGAGGCCTGCAGTTTACAAAAAATTATCTGAGCGTGATGATAAACCTAGGATCAGAACTGAAGATTACTGCAGACCTAGAATGAATAAAAAACCAAAATGTTAAATGGGGGGCTCAATTTGGGCCTATACATTTTATATGATAAGATGCAGTCAATAAAATAAAGCTACTGAAGATCTCACATTAACTTAAGAAGTACTTGTGTTATAATGTTATGTAAAAAAAATCCACAACATAAAATTAGATCTCACATGATAACTAATATAGAATAATGGAAGAAGATATACAAAGATGTTAACAAAAAATGGCTTTGGATCATCAGAGAACAGGTTTCATTTTTCAATACTAGCAAATTTATTTTATATTTTAAAATTACTGTAACAACTATAATTTTATAACTAAAATGTAGCAATGTGATGTAAAAATGTCACGGCTACTACTAGATGTATTACAATCATGGAAAGGGAAAGGAAATCAGCAACGATGTAGAAATTTGATTCAGATAAAGATTGAATTAGGTGAAGAGCTTTACTTAGAGATACTTAAGTTACAGTCTGGAATATAGTCATCCTGTTAATGTGTTCAAATACCATATTTATTTTGCTGAAAGATTCCATATTTCAGAAGAGTCATACTTTCCTGAAAATTCAAGTCTTACAGTGGTATGGAGAAAAGGAAAAAAAATAGAGCAGAAAGAGGAATCAGAATGCCAGGGGCTACTGGGGACTTGAGGTGGTGGACTTATTAGTAAATAAGGTTTGTATGTTGGTTTCAATATGAGGGCAAGATTTGAGCAAAGCTTTGAGAGAGGAGAGAGTGCTAGCCAAATTGATATATAGTCTACACTGTTTTAAATAAGCTGACATATTGCTTCTTTTTTGAAAGGTTCTGGAATCCTAGTAACTCTAATGCAAACAACCACTTGACTTCTTTGGAACATTTACACAAATGACCCCACAGCACTCATAATTAAAGTTAGTTTCTATTCTGAGTTGCTAGCTGAAATTATTATTCTATTAGGATTTTGTTCTATATTATTATGTTATTAGCACTATGGGAGTTACCAAGAGAAGCTGCTCAATGATAACAGCCCCATTAATGCCTCTAGTGAAATACTTTAAACAGTTCTTTATTGATCTTGGTTCCAAATACATCAAAATGTTGTATTACAGTTTTGTTGAACTATTCACCCTACTGGCATTCTCAGGTGGCTACATTCCCAGTTCAAAAGTTCTTATTCTTGAGCTCCAGGTAGAAACGAAGAAATAGCAAAACTGACCTAACTGAAAAATGTGGGTTGACTTTATTCAAGCTTTTTAATCATTAAAAGAAATATTTTACTTCTTTTTTCCGTATTAGGAATGTGCTAGTTGTCATTTATTTGTATTAAATTTATATAAATATACACATACACACATATATACATACAAAGTAAGAAACCCCAAGAATAAAGACTGCAATGAAAATATAATTTATTATATGAAAGCTCTAAATTCTAATTCACTACTCTAAGACCAGTCCAATTCACAAGTAAATGAATGACCTGAACTGACCCTCAGACAATTAATCAAGAGGTCTTGAATGTGTTTCATTCTAACCCTAATAAAGATCTATTTAAATCATAGTTTCTGTCATGAAATACGTGTATATATTCTACTTGTGGCTGAAGTTAAGCCAAGCTAAATTTGTAAACAATTATTCTATATTTATCATTGAGCTTTATGATATGCCAGTTGGCCTGGTTCTGATTCAAATGCATCATAACGGTAGCATACGCAGTCTTGCAGAACTGAGGCTTCCTTTTGACAGTGCCACTATTGAGGGCCATAAGGAGCATATAATAACTGAAGTCACTAACATAAACTCAACAGCATGTATGATTATTTAATTGTTTTACTTCAATCCAAATAATTTTCTAACTTCATGAAGAGTAAGACCATCAACAGCAAGTGTACAGAAGGTAGATGTCATTAAATAATTTATAATCAAGTCCACAGTGAAGAATATATACGATGCTGTTGTTTTCATGATATTCAATTAAGGCAGTCATAGTGCCAACTATTTCACTATACTGAGGCAAACAGATATTTGCTAAAGTATTTTGAATCATTTATTACTCAGTCAGTTGGGTAAAACTTTATTTATACTGAAATTAACTGAATTTTGCTTTCTACACTTGATCTTAGCCAAAAAGCCAAGAAGTGATTGAATTTTGCTTCCTTTTCTATCTCACATAAATGTAGACTCATACTCTAAACGGTTTCCCTGTCTATTGTGAATAGTTTCTATGAAAGGAGGTCCTAATATTTTATATAAACTGTATATATATATAGTAACAACAACACAGTATGCTATTTCAAACACCAAAAAGTGTCATTCTTTAGAATGATGAAGTGCTCTTCATCGTTCTAAAATGTTGATGAAATTAAATTAAAATTGTACTTTATAAGTTTACCATCAGCCTGTAAGTAAGGTCATCTCATCATTCTTACTCAAGCATGAAATAATATGAGTAAAATAAGATTTAAATAATTAAGATACATACGTTAGATTTGGCAGAAAGAGAAAACTTCAATTCTCTAGCATTTGTGCCTCCAAACTGTATCCTATATCACTATTGAAATCAGAAAGGAACATAAAAACAGCAATTTTAAAATGTCAATTTCTTTTTAATACATGAAGTTAGATCTGCCATGTGTTGAACAGATTTTTCTCATACATTATACCTTAAAAACTTTATTTTTCATCTATTATGCCTTGAAGGTTTTTCCATTGACCTATCTAAAACAGTTGAGATGAAAATGGACTTATACTTTTTAAAAGCTAATTTAATTAGCCAGTCTCCATTATTTTTGCCAATATTTATTTTGGCAAAAGTAAATAAATCTATATTATGCTGTAATAAATTATATTGGAAAAAGAAGTATATAACAAGTTAATATTTTTAAAAATCTGCTCTTTGTCATTCTAAAATGCCAATGAAATTAAATCAAAATTGTACTTTGGGAGGCAGATCTGTTGACAAGAAAAAAGAAGTGTTCATGAACGCAGAGCATGCCCCTTCTTTTAATTGATTACACTCTGGCCCATAAAAATGTGTAGTAAGTAAACTGTATGTATTTCACTGTATTACTGTAAAAGAGATTCATAGGAGGTAACTAGACTCTTTATTATTAATATTCAAAGGTCAAAGCAAAATTGGGAGATGAATTGAAAAATACACATTTCCCCAAAGTCTCTATTATAAAACAGTAAGAATAAAAACTCTCACTGACAACAGAAAGTTCAAATTTTAACCATATGCTCAGAGCTCATATATGATTTTCAGTTTCTGTGCCAAACTCTTCCATTTCTAAAAATCTTTCATTTTCTCTTCTATATGAAAATAAAGTATTTTGATATATAATTAGAGTTGAATAAGCATACATGTTTTATATTTATCCTCCAGAATAAACATGTTGGTTTTTTTTCTTCCTACTATTAAGGCAATTTCATCTTGTGAAATCACAAAGCCTAGTGCTTTACTGGCCTCTGTTGTTACAATCTCAGTATAACACTTCTACACATGCAGTGTAATACCATTTTGATATATTTGATGAAAAAATAATATGTAGTCTAAGGTTTTAAATGTGCCACAGAAGAGGAATCAAATTACTGTCAGATTATACAAAAAATTAAGCAATTCTTTTTGAAATAATATGTGGCATATAATTGCCACACATCAGACATACATTGAAGTGAGAAAAACCTCATCTTCTAAAAGTTCCCTTAGTTACTTTTTATAAATCAATTAGATAGTGCTTTCTGTCCCAGATCATATACGTTCCTAGCAATCAAGCTAAACATATCCTGGCAGAAATCCTTGATGCATCTTGCCAAACGTGATGTTAATATAGATTGAGCATTTCTAACCCAAAAATGTGAAAACTGAAATGCTCCAAAATTCGTAACTTTTTGAGCACCAATGTGAGATAGTGACACCTTTGCTTTCTGTTAGTTCAATGTATACAAACTTTATTTCATGCAAAAAATTGTTTCAAATATTGAATAAAATTAGCTTCAGGCTATGTGTATAAGGTGTATATGAAACATAAGTAAATTTTGCGTTTAAACTTGGGTCCTATCCCCAAGATATTTCATTATGTCTGTATACATATTTCAAATCTGAAAAAATTTGAAATCTGAAACACTCTGGCCCCAGGCATTTTGGATAAGGGATACTCAACCTTTATTCACTTTGTAATGCTGAAGAGGGATTGTGTGAAGTAAATAATATATACTGCATTACAAAAAACACATCCAGGCCATAATTAATTTATTTAGAGTCAAGAGATTAAGCCTGTATTTTTCCTGTGTAGAGATGGTAACCACTGAAGTATCAATTTTACCAAGTTTTCATCAAAGAAATGTAACTCAGTTTTTGCTTGATAAGATACCAAGGTACACAATATTATTAGAGATTTATTTCAATGACACGTTAAATGTTTCTTAAACTTTTAATTGCATAAATAGAGACAATAAAAATAGCAAAGAGATGCTTTCTAGGTTATTAAAGAATAGGAGAAGGGCCGGGCACAGTGGCTCATGCCTGTAAGCCCAGCACATTGAGAGGCCAAGGCAGGCAGATCACTTGAAGTCAGGAATTCGAGACCAGCCTGGCCAACACGGTGAAGCCCTGTCTCTACTAAAAATACAACAAAATTAGTCAGGTATGGTGGTGCCGCCTGTAGTCCCAGCTACCCGAGAGGCTGAGGCAAGAGAATTCCTTGAACCCAGGAGGTGGAGCTGAGATCGCATCACTGCACTTCAGGCTGGACAACAGAATGAGACTTAGTCTCAAAAAAAAAAAAAAAAAGAACAGAAGAAAATAGCAGGAATTGTTGTCTTAAAAATGTCATTGAGTGTGCCCTAATCATCTTTGTCTTAATGTAAAAGCTCAGCTGTCATCTTTGCTGACAAACTAAGGCTTTACTATAAAGCCTACAAAGACTGACTCTCCAGGTAGTCCTTTTCCTCCCAGCTATTGTCCAGATCAGTACTTTCCAAAGGAAAGATAACTGAGCCACATATTAATTTTTAAGTAAAAATAATAAGTAAAAGAAAAAGAAGAAAAGGAAGGAAGGGAGGAAGGAAAGAAGGCAGGCAGAAAAGGAGGGAGGGAGGGAGGGAAAGAAGAAAAAATAAGAAAGAAAAAAGAGAAAAAGAAAGAAAGAGAGAGAGAAACAGAAAGAAAGAGAAAGAAAGAAAAAGGAAGGAAAGGACAAAGGAAGAGAGGAAGGGAAAGGAAAGGAAGAAAGGGAACTTCTCAAAGATATAATATTTCTGAGTTGGGAGAATATGATAAAATACATATGCAAAATATTCAGAACGTGAGAAGGTGTTAAGAGCAAGGGCTAAAAATGGAAATGGAAAGAGGGATAGATAGATCCAGAGGTTGAGGGCCCATTTGCAAATTTAAAAGGGTGATCAGAGTGTATTATAGAGGTGGTGATATGTTTTAAAGACTTAAAAATGTCAAGGAAGTAAACCATATGTATAAATAGGGGGAAGAGTTTTTCAGGTATGGGGCACAGTAGATGAATAATTCTTGCTAGGTGCATATTTATGAGAGACAGGACTAGCTGGATTTCCCAGGCCAAATAAGAATTCCTAAGTCTAGCTGGGGAGGTGACTGCACCCACCTTTAAACATGGGGCTTGTAACTCAGCTCACACTCGACCAATCAGGTAGTAAAGAGGGCTCACTAAAATACGAATTAGGCTAAAAGCAGGAGGTAAAGAAAAGTCAAATCATCTATCATCTGAGAGCACAGGGGGGAGAGACAATGATTGGAATATAAACCCCAGGCATTCAAGCCGGGAGTGGCAACCCACTTTGGGGGGCAATCCTCTTTGGGTCCCCTCCTATTGTATGGGAGCTCTTTCACTCTATTAAATATTGCAACTGCACACTCTTCTGGTCTGTGTTTGTTACGGCTCGAGCTGAGCTTTCACTCGCTGTCCACCCCTGCTGTTTGCCACTGTCGCAGACCTGCCACTGACTTCCACCCCTCCGGATCCAGCAGGGTCTCTGCTGTGCTCCTGATCCAGCAAGACACCCATTGCCACACTGGATCGGGCTAGAGGCTCGCCATTGTTCCTGCATGGCCAAGTGCCTGGGTTCGTCCAAATAGAGCTGAACACTAGTTGCTGGGTTCCACAGTTCTCTTCCGTGACCCACAGCTTCTAATAGAGCTATAACACTCACTGCATGGCCCAAGGTTCCATTCCTTGGAATCTGTGAGGTCAAGAACCCCAGGTCAGAGAACAAAAGTCTTGCCGCCATCTTGGGAGCTGCCCGCCACCATCTTGGGAGCCACCAGCCACCATCTTGGGAGCGGCTCACAACCATCTTGGGAGCCGTAAGAACAAAGACTTGTCGGTAACATCTAGTGTCAGAAAGAGTCAGGAGACCTATGAGACTTAGGCAGAGTGTGGCACTAGAAGAAAAATAGAAGATGTGGGCTGAGGGGAGATGGGTGACCAAATCATGGAGGACCTTATAGACTATTACGAAGACTTTACCTCTTAATGTAAGAATTAGAAAGCCTACGAAGGATCATTGCTAGCTGCTAATACTGAGAATAAACTATACACAGCCATAAGAAAGAGTGAAAATTAGAAAATGTGTCCAGTAACTGGGTAAGAGATAATAATGTCTTATTCCAGGGCAAAGGTGTTTATACTATAGTCATGTTCTGGGTATAGCTTGAAGATTGGGTCAACAGAATTTGCAGACAGATTTTTTTTTTTTTTGAAACAGAGTCTAGCTCTGTTGCCCAGCCTGGAGCGCAGTGGCACGATCTCGGCTCACTGCAAGCTCTGCCTCCCGGGTTCACGCCATTTTCCTGCCTCAGCCTCCTGAGTAGCTGGGACTGCAGGTGCCTGCCACCACGATCGGCTAATTTTTTTGTATTTTTTTTAATAGAGATGGGGTTTCACTGTGTTAGCCAGGATGGTCTTGATCTCCTGACCTCGTGATATGCCCGCCTCTGCCTCCCAAAGTGCTGGGATTACAGGCTTTTTTTTTTGTTTTAAGAAAGAGTCTCGCTCTGTCACCCCGGCTGGAATGCAGTGATGCAATCTCAGCTCACTGCAACCTCCGCCTCCCACGTTCAAGCAATTCTCTGCATCAGCCTCCTGAGTAGCTGGAATTACAGGTGCCTGCCACCACGCCCAGCTAATTTTTTTTTTGTATTTTTGGTAGAGACGGGGTTTCACCATCTTGGCCAGGATGGTCTTGAACTCCTGACCTCGTGATCCACCTGCCTTGGCCTCCCAAAGTGCTGGGATTACAGGCGTGAGCCACTGTACCCGGCCCAGACAGATTTAATATAGGGGACAAGAGAAAGAGAAGAGTTAAGGGTAACTTTAATATTTATGAGTAATTGGAAGAATGAAGTTGCCACAGATTAGAAGAGAAAGATTGTGAGAAGAGCAGATTTAGAAGTGAAAAGAGTTCTGTTTTGGACTTGTTAAGTTTAAGATATCTATTTAAATGTTTTGACAACTAGAGGCCTGTGAGGGAAAGAAAATAAAAAGCAATTTGCTTTCCTGTAAGCCAGGTGGAAAGAGGTGGATGTGCTTCAAGAAGGAAGAAGTAAACAACTGAATTAAATGTTACTAATAGGTCAAATAAATTGAAGACTGAGATTTGACTATTTCATTTAATACTAGAATAAAAAGAAACTTCTTTTTAGAATTTGAGAAATAAAAGTAGATATTAAAAAATCCATAGAATGGAAGAGAAAATATGATTTCTAAAAAAGAGGAGAAAAATTACTGGAATTATTGGATTATGCAAGTAAAATCAGATAGATTCTAGCACAAAAGAAGTGAGGATTTTTAGCTGGGCATGGTGGCGGGCTACTGTAATCCCAGCTACTGGGGAGGCTGAGGCAGGGAGAATTGCTTGAACTTGCAGAGGTTGCAGTGAGCCAAGGTCACACCACTGCACTCAAGCCTGGGTGACAGAGCAAGACTCTCTCAAAAATAAGTGAAAAAGAAAGAAAGGAGAGAGAGAGAGAAAGAGAGAAAGAGAAAGGAAAGGAAAGAGAGAGAGAGGACGGGGAGGGAGGGAGGATTTTGCCTAGAAACACTGAGAATTCATTCGGAATAATAAGAGGAAAACCAGGAGTATTTGTACAGTTACAGGTAGATTGTAGACTTGTAGACATGATATGGAAGCATGTGAAAGTTCTCCTCCAATTTATCAAGCAAGTGTAGAAGTGGATGTTAAAGGTTGAAGAAGAGGAGATAGTATGAATTAGTCATATGGAAGAGTGGATTGTGAAGTGTAGCATGATCACTGGGTTATACAAAGAATGTCTTTGAGATTAGCGAAAAAAAAAAGCAGCCCAGGATCAGTGCTCCTTTGACAAATCTCTTTCTAGGATCATGGCCTCTCTACACGTGTGATCTAAGAGTTCACATAAAATGCCCTCTACGTCTAGTTGAACATTGTCTGACACTGGTAATGTTTGGCTTTATCTAACCTCAGTTGAATTCTTGCCCACTGAAAATAGGTTGTGATTGAAAATTCTTCAGTGATTTTTAAATGTATTCCATTCTTAATGGCTGATCTCTTCTCTCATTTAAACACAGTTAGAATTCACACTCATTAAATGATGACTTTTTAATTAGAGAAGATAGTCTGGAAAAGTCTGTGCTTCCGAAGCTTTAGTAATTTGCAAAGCACCTTCAGGAGTTTCTTCTTATCTAGTTGCGTTGAATGGACCTATGTTAATTTGTCTGTGAAGCAAGTGTTATGTACTTTGAGTAAATATTGGTAGCCTTTGGCAGTTTGAGGTAGGTAGGAGCTATTCAACTTGTCTCCCATTATCTCTATGCCAGCTGGTATGTCACAATAACTGCAAGTCTTATTCCAATTTCTGATAAAGATACAAACATTGAGAAGAAACAAAACAGCCAAGCAATCTGTTCATACAGGCTTAGTGGAGATCTCACTCTATCCTGAGACATTCCAGGGAGCACCTTGTGAAAAGTTTCACGCTGAGGTAGAGTTAACACTCTTCTGATGGCGGGATCAGCCACACCACATGTCTAGTCAGATTGGTTGGCAGAGTATTCTAGTTAATCAGAAGCCCAGGACTAAACAGATTTCTAAACCTAAAGTGGAACTCCCTATGTGTGAGAATGTCAGACTTGCCATTTTCTTACTTGTTATGCATGCAAGGGTGGGAAACTGTAAAATCATGTGTTTTAAAAGCATGTGTTTTAATATTACTCATCAATTAAAAAAATACTGCATGCACCCCTAATGACAATTATTAAATGTCCCCATATAGACTTTAATGACAATATTGAAGTGCTTAAACATTCTGAACTAAAGATTCCTGATTTGGATAGTGCAAATGCCAACCAAACACTTGGTTATAATCAAGGTTATAAATCAAGGTTAACTAAAACACACGAATTCACATTGATATAATATTGTTTATGTGGAGTAATTCATCCTTGCTCACCGAAATCAGAACCAGATAATCAGTACTCTTACTTCATGCCATTTGCATATATGTATATGTAATGTGTCTACTTAAATGTCTTCCTTGTCAATATGTACATTAAATAATAAATTTGAGAACTAGCTATATTTCATTGTAAAAAATGCACTTTCAATAAATGCCTGACTCGAAAATGTTTGGTAGACAGTCTAAATGAGGGTGCACTTTGAAAACTTAATGACTTTAATATTCATCAAAGTAAATATAGTCTTGGTATTAAAATTATATTTTCAGAATAGCATAAATATGAGAAGGTCTATCAACTCTGTACTATTATTAGTATTAATAGATTAAAACGCACAAGCATTGCCAAAAAGTAAAAATAATTTTCTCTCCATGTGGTATCCTAGTGAAACACAGTTTACAACAAATACATAATTTTAAAAAATTTAATTACATTATTTTCCTATAATTCTATTTTATAAAATCTATCTTAATAATTATTTAACAAACCCTCTGAAAATAGAATCAGAAGAATCTCATCTCTCTTGCTTATTTTTAATTAATGTATATTAAATTTCTCTCCTAATAATAAGTTATAAGACAATTCTCATTCAAATAAACTTTAGATACCAGTAAAGGACTCTCATTACGTCAGGTGGAACCTAAAAAATTAGCCTTTTAGTATACCAGATTTATTTATTCTATTTAGAAATAAATATATTTCCATAATACTTGCCCTTATAGTCTTCATTTTACTATATATTATACAGATACTTTATGAAGAATTTTTTCAGCTACTTTTAACTGCACTATTTTGTCCCAAATTAAATAAAACTAGCTCATTTTCAATCATTTGCATGATCATGAACAACATTGTAGCAATAATTAATTAGCTTCCAAAATACTTGAAAACTAAATAAAACATTTATGTCAGTAAGGTCATAAGGGAAAATGTGATAGAATTTGAACAAAAGGAAGGGGAAAAGAGGAAGAATTTTAGAAGAGAGAGAGAGACACAGAAGGCAGAGAGGCGAAAGATGCAGAAAAACCTGAGGAGAAAATAGTGTCAGATCCAAGTATAAGATTATGCTCTCCAGTTGCATTGGTTCCAAAACTCAAAAATTCAAAAATTTTAAAAATAAATACAAATTTATAAGACAATTTTTAGAGATGCAAAAAAATCTGGGGGGAAACATGAGAGATTATATCAAAAGAGATAGTCTTGCCCCCTCAATCTCTAATAATCTCTACTCTTGACCGTGACTCTCATCTGTTGACTTTATTTCTTCTTCACTAAGAAAATTAAAACAATCAGAGAAAATCTTTTATAGACTCCCACTACTCTAAGTACCAACCTTCTACATCTGTACCCGTGCATTCTGCCTTCATGAATACTCTCCTGTCCAAGGCTATTTCCTTTCATATGTGATAGTTCCCATGCTCTTTTGTCTATTTATGAACACTGTTCCAGAAATTCTCTTCTCATTCTCATGATTGTCAATTTTTTCTTCATACTTGATGATTTTATGAGCTCAAATATATGCTGTTATTTCTGTCATGATGAAACATAAATGACTCTCGATCTTATTTTTCTTTCTGGGGCAGCACCATTTCTCTCCTCCCATTACCACAGAATTCATTGAGAGATTTCTCTGTACTTCGAATCTCCAATTCCTCTTTTCTCATGAACCCACTATTTTAAGTTTTCCTCTCACTACCCTCTACAACTCTTATTAATAGCACCAATGATTGCCTCTGTTAAATATTCAAAATACTATCATAATTTTGTTTTCTTCTGTCTAAAAGGACACTCCTTCTCAGTCCGTTCTGCAGATCTTGTGATGTCTCCAATCTTTAAGTGCTGGCATTCCCCAGGTTCATTTCTTAGTTAACTAATCTATCTCTATTCATTCTCCTGACGATCTTATCTAACAATAATTCTCTATCCCCAAATTTATATTTCCAATCAACCATTTCTCCTGAGCATCATGAGGACTTCATTGCTTTTTTGTCAAGTTAACAAATCAAAACTACAAAGTTATTCTTCAAAACTTTCTTCTGTGTGTTGTTTAATCACAAGTATCTATTCAGTATAATCTCTCCCATCTTCTAGGAAGGCTACATATAAAGAAGTGAAACAGTACTGTTGACTTGGGGCAGCAACATTTGGAGATCCCTTTCACTACTGTGATGCTAAAAGTCTTGAAGAATGTCTGCTCTATGTTCAGTGCCACTGAATGCCATGTGTGGCTATTTCTCCAACAATGAAATTATAGCCAATGAAAATACTACATATACAGTTATTTTTGAATAAAATGGGATACATCTACTCATGATAAATTTCTTCTAATTCAAAAATATAATCATATCACATTTTTTAAAAACCTAAAATTACTATTATAAATTATTTCAGGGATTGGACTAAGGTATGAGGTAACTGGAGTATATACTGTTTTTGTTTTTTTATTTCACCTCAGACTCTACTACACATTTAAAACTTAGTCTGCATTTAAAACTTAGATATTTTATTCATCCATTTTGCATTACTTTTTAATATTTAAATATTTCTTGAGATATTATTTGATTGTTGAGTTTTGTGGTAACTCCTTAAATTTTATGCCTGAGGCAGTTGCCTCACTTTTCTCACTGTCATTCCAAGCTCTTTTGCAAGGGAGTAGATAAATATAAAAAGTACCTCCTACATGCCTTTGTTTGTTTGGCATATTTCACAAAGCATAACTAGAACTACCTATTTTATTAGCCAGGATGATTTCTGCCCTCACCATATAAGTTGGACCATTATTAACACAGCTATGTGGAGATAGGCCCTTGAGATTATTAGCAAGTGTTTCAGAATTAAAAGTCATAATCCTTAAAGAAATCTATTTCAACTCTGGGTTTAATTAATGGGAAAATATACGTACACAGCAAACATTAAGTATAAGACTGCACTTAAAAATTAAGACTCCTGCTAGCTGAAGGGGTGGCCTGCCCCTCCACACCTGTGGGTATTTCTAGTCGGCTGGTATGAGAAACTGAGAAAAGAAGACAGAGAGACAAAGTATAGAGAAACAACAGTGGGCCCAGGGGACCGGCGCTCAGCATACCAAGGACCTGCACCAGCACCGGCCTCTGAGTTCCCTCAGTTTTTATTGATTATTATCTTCATTATTTCAGCATAAAGGAACGTAGTAGGAGGGCAGGGTGATAATAAGGAGAAAAACATGTGAGCAATAGAATCTACATCATAATTAAGTTCAAGGGAAGGTACTATGACTGGACGTACACGTAAGCCAGATTTATATTTCTCTCCACCCAAACATCTCAGTGGAGTAAAGAATAACTAGTCAGCATTGCTGCAAACATGTCTCACCTCCCACCATAGGGCGGTTTTTCTCCTATCTCAGAATTGAACAAATGTACAATCGGGTTTTATACCGAGACATTCAGTTCCCAGGGGCAGGCAGGAGAGAGTGGCCTTCCTCTATCTCAACTGCAAGAGGCTTTCATCTCTTACTAATCCACCTCAGCACAGACCCTTTACGGGTGTCGGGCTGGGGGACGGTCAGGTCTTTCTCATCCCACGAGGCCATATTTCAGACTATCACATGGGGAGAAACCTTGGACAATACCCCGCTTTCAAGGGCAGAGGTCCCTGCGGATTTCCGCAGTGCATTGTGCCCCTGGTTTATTGAGACTAGAGAATGGCAATGGCTTTTACCAAGTATACTGCTTGTAAACATTTTGTTAACAAGGCACGTCCTGCACAGCCCTAGATCCCTTAAACCTTGATTTCATACAACACATGTTTTTGTGAGCTCCAGATTGGATCAAAGTGGTTGGGTCAAAGTGGCTGGGGCAAAGCTACAAATTAACAACATCTCGGCAAAGCAATTGTTCAAAGTACAGGTCTTTTTCCAAATGGAGTCTCTTATGTCTTCCCTTTCTACATAGACACAGTAACAGTCTGATCTCTCTTTCTTTTCCCTACACTAGCCACCCAAGAAAATAAACTGAAAGCTATTAGAATTAACAAGAGGGTTCAGTAGAGCAGCAATGTAAAAAAAAGAAGAAATTAATAGCTTTTCTTCAGACCAGCATAAACCAGTTGGATAATATAATAAGAACATAGAACACAACAAAACTTAACTGAGACATTTAATATATGGACAGAAAAAAAATGAAGCATCATTATATACTTGAATTGAAAAAGAAAATACTATAAATTAAAATTCTTACATTAATTCGCTAGTTTAGGGCAATACCAAATAAGAACCAACAAATGGTACTTTTAAAACTTGAGGAGTTTTGACTTCTAAAATGGCAGAGTAAGACCTCTGAAAATCTACTCCTCTATGAAAGCAACAGAAACACATGCAAAAACTATCAAAATCAACTTTTCCTGAACTCTAGACATTAATCAAAGTGTTGTAACAATTTGAGAAGTGTTTACACAAGAAGAAAATGGCTGAATATGTAAGAATATTGCAATTTATGGCATTTTAACTTTCCCTAATCTCATCCCTCTCTCTTCAGCTTCAAGATAACCCTAGAAATCAAGTCTTTCAGCCAGGTGTGATAGTTTTCATGTGTAATCCCAATTACTCAGAAGACTGAGGCAGAACCCAGGATTTAGAAGCTACAGTAAGCTATGATTACACCTTTGAACTCCAGAACTCCAGCCTGAACAATAAACTGAGACTTTTTCTCACAATAATAAAAAGAAAAAATAAATCGAGAAGCTAGTCTTCTTACAGTAGCACAATTCACAGTTGCAATTGATGTGGAACCAACCTAACCGCCCATTGACTAATGAGTGGATAAAGAAAATGTGGAATATGTACACCATGAAATACTACTCAGCCATTAAAAAGAATGAAATAATGTCCTTTGCAGCAACTTGGATGGAGCTGGAGATCATTATTCTAAGTAACACAGGAGTAGAAAACCACTTATAAGCTTATACGTGGGAGATAAGCTATGAGTATGCAAAGGCATACAGAGTGATATGATCGACTTCAGAGACTTAGAATGGGAAGGGTGGGAGAGAAGTTAAGGATAAAAAACTACACATTACATTACTACATTACTACACAATGTATGCTACTCGGGTGACCAGTGCACTAAAATCTCAGAACTGACCACTATATAATTCATCCATGTAACGAAAAATCATTTGTACCCCAAAAGATATTTAAATAATTTTTTTTAAAAAAAGAAATCTAGTCTTCCAAATGCAATAGCTATTAAAACCAGCAGTTTGGCAGCCACTAAGTGAGGCAGAATAAGGTAGGAACTCCCTAGAAGTCCTGTCTGCAGAGATTTGTCACTACTTTACGTGTCTGGCAGCTTGTTAGAAAGCACTATTCTCAGGTTTTGTCTTTATCTGACCTTAGTTGGAGCTCTCGCTGTTTGTGAAGAGCCCTCTTCTCAGGATTTTGCCAAAAATAATCAACAGCAATTGTTTAACATCACAGCTGCCTAATGTGGCTTTATTTGTTGGGAGGAACAAGAACTTGACCAAAATACAAAAGAAAATACTGAGGACTGACATGATCATAAGAAACTTTGCAAAGCTAAACATAACCAAGAAATCTAGGAGGCTACACACATACTCAGGACTGTGCACATGCCCAGGAAAGGACTGAGACAATACTGTCAATCACAATATTAGTAGAGCTGTTGACAATTAAAACAAAAAAATGAAGCCTAACATTTTAATTTAACTTTTAATAAATATTCCATGTTTATTAAAAATATATTTGGTTTTAAAAAATTATTGGTGGCGTCTATAGAAGACATACTTTTCTAATATATATTTCTTAGGAGTTGCTGTATTTTGCTCATAATATTTACATTATTAGCATGCTAGTCCTGAAGAAATAGAAGAAGTATACCATTGTTGAGTTTTGAGTAGTGAATCTTCCATTAAATTGTTTTCCCTGAATAAATAACTAGCCTGAAACCACTAGAGGGCAAGCTTTACGTTATAATGAAACAAGAATCACTTTCACATCCATAGTAATAGCACACATTTAAGGTGTGCTATTCTCAAAATGACTATTTTGAGAATAGAAATCTAATTTCTGTATAACTAACTTTTTTCTTTAAGAGGTAAATAAAGGTAAAATCACATTTTATATATATTCCTAAATTTAGCTACTCAAGAGCAGTAATTTTTAAACTTTAACATGGCAATTTTTTAGAATCAGTATTAGACGTATGAGTCACATGCAATTCCGCATCTTCATAAAATGATATTCAATATCAAACAAATACTGTTTCCTAGTTATTAATTTACAAATAAGTTACTGATTAAACTAATCTGTGTGCTTCCTATTCCCTGACCCCTAAATAAGGCAAAAGGAATTCAGCCTAAAACTTTGGCACCTAGGCTTAAGAGAAAATCTCTGTATATGGCACAGAGTTCTTTTTGTCATTGCAAAAATATTTGAAAATGATAATTCATTGATAGGTCACACCATAGCATGTGTGTGTTATACATTTCATGAAATTCCTATTTTGCTATGAAAATCTGATAATTAGCTAAACTGACAGTCAATCTAATCTTGGCACAAATATGTATATAATGACCTATGTTAACAAATATCCTGTAGTTTTTTCTCTGTTCCCTGGGTGTGCTCTGCTGCTCAGGAAAACATGGATCATTAGACAAGCACATTTGATAATTTGTAGCAAGTATTGAGCACTTAACATTTAAATTGTATTATGTAACTTGCTCATAGACACAAAGTTGGTGAGTGGTTGAGCCTGGATTACACTGATACCTGACACTTTCTTCTGAAGTGGTAGTTATATTCCAAGTAAATCTTTAAGGTTCAAATAACACAAAAAGAAGTACTAGCTAGTTGAATCAGATTGTAGTTTGGGAAAGGATGGTGTCAGACTAAGGGGTGGCTGTATTAGGCCCTTCTTGCGTTGCTATAAAGACATTTCTGAGACTTAGTAATTTATAAGAAAAGAGGTTTATCATTCCATCCCTGGCCCTTCCCAAATCTCATGTCCCTCTCATATTGCAAAATACAATCATCCCTTCTCAGTAGTCCCCACAAAGTCTTAACTCATTCCAGCATTAACTCAAAAATCCCAAGTCCCAAATCCAAACTCTTATCTGTAAATGAGTTCCTTCTACCTATGAGCTTGTGAAATCACAGCAAGTTATATACTTCCAAGATACAATGAGGTATAGGCATTGGGTAAACATTCCCATTCCAAAAGGGATAAATTGACCAAAAGAAAGGGGCTACAGAACCCATGCAAATTCGAAACCCAGCAGGGCAGTCATTAAATCGTAAACCTCCAAAGTAATCTCCTTTGACTCTGTTTCACATCTAGGGCACACTGCTGCAAGGGGTGGGCTTTCAAGGCCTTGGACAGCTCTGCTCCTGTGACTTTGCATGTTCAGCTCCCAGGGCTGCTCTCATGGGTTGGAGTTGAATGCCTGTGGCTTTTCCAGATGCAGGGTCCATAATGCTAATGGATATAGCATTCTGGGTTCTGGAGGACAATGCCTCCCTTCTCACAGCTACACTAGGCAGTGCCTTATTAGGGACTCTGTATGGAGATTGCAACTCCACATTTTCCTTTCAACTTCCCTAGCAGAGGTTTTCTGTGAAGGCTTCCCCACTGCAGCAGGCACTTGCCTGGGCACCAAAGCTTTCTCATAAATCTTCTGAAATCTGGGTGGAGGCTACCAACCGTTCTTCACTCTTGTATTCTGTGCACCTACAGGCTTAATGCCACATAGAAGCTGCCAAGGCTTATGGCTCGCATTCTCCAAAGTTGCAACTCAAGCTATACCCGAGTCTCTTAGAATCCTAGCTGGAGCTAGAGTAGGCATATATGTGGAGCAGTGTCTTGGGATGCACAAAACAGTGGGACTTTAGGCTGGGCCATGAAACCATTCAGTCTTTATAGGCTTCAGGGCCTGCAATGGAAAGGGCTGCCTGGAAGATCTCTGAAATGCATTTGAGGCCTTTTAACCATTGTTTTGTTTATTACCATTTGGCTCTGTTTTAGTTAACCAAATTTCTCTAGCATGAGGTTGATCCACAGCCTGCTTAAATTCCTCTTCCAAAAGAGCTTTTCCTTTCTCTGCTATATGGCCAGGGGCAAATTGTTTAAACTTTTACACTCTGCTTCCTGTTTAAATATAAATTCCAACTTTAAGTCATTCATTTGTTCCTAAATCTGAGCATAGGTTGTTAGAAGCAGCCAGACTATATCTTGAACACATTGCTGCTTAGAAATTTCTTCTGCCGGATATCCTAGGTCATCATATCTCAAACTCAAACGTCCACAGATGCGTAGGGCATGAACAGAATGCAGTCAATTTATTTGCTAAGGCATAACATGCATGACCTTTGCTCCAGTTCTCAATAAGTTCCTTGTATCCATCTGAGATCTCTACAACTTGGATTTTATTGCCCATATCACTATCAGTATTTTGGTCACAACCGTTTAACCAGTCTCTAAGATGTTCCAACCTTTCTGTCTCTTTCTGTCTTCTTCTGAGCCCTCTAAGCTATTCCAACCTCTGCCCATTACCCAGTTCCAAAGTTGCTTCTACATTTTCAGGTCTTTACAGAAATCCCCCACTCCTCAGTACCAATTTTCTGTATTAGTCCATTCTTGCATTGCTATAAAGAAATACCCTAGACTAGGTAATTTATTTTTAAAAAGGTTTACATTGGTTCATGGTTCTGCAGACTGCACAGGAATCATAGTGGCATATGCTTCTGGGGAGGCCTGAGCTTACAATTATGGAGTAAGGGAAAATGGGACCAGGTACATCACATGGAAAGAGAGAGGAGAGACTCTGCAGGGGAGGAGAGGTGACACACATTTTTACATGACCAGATCTCCCCAGAACTCAGAGTGAAAGCTCATTTATCACCAAAGGGTTGGGCTAAGCCATTCAAGAGGGATCCACCCCTATGATCCCAACACCTTCCACTACTTCCCACTTCCAACACTGGGGATTAGAATCCCACATGAGATTTGGGCAGGGACATATATTCAAACCATATCAGTGGCCTAGCTATAATCAAGTGACATTTTGAGTTCTTAAGTGACTACTACCTACAACCCCCTTAATAACTTGAGAGATATCAGTTATAACCATCTAACCCTCAGTACACTGTAATTTTTTAACACAATTATGCTACATGAAGAAAATAAATGGATTCAAATTCAAGATCATCAATTTATTCAGTGCAAATCATTATATATTATTTTTAGTAAACTTGAATACTTGTGACCCATTGTGATAGCCAGATTGTCTGGATGGCCCCAGTTAAGAGTTTTCCTGAATCCATGTCCTTGGCAATTTGGCTTTGCAGCTACTCCCATTAAGAGGCAGAATCTGTTTTCCCACCACTTGTATCAGGTATAGTTTTACTTACTTTGGCCAAAAAAATAAAAAGAAGCAGAAGTAATAGAGTGGCCAGTTCTAACCCAGACCTTAAGCAGTTTGCATGCTTCTACTGACATTCTCCCCTAATCTTTGTTCATGCCATGTGTCCATAGCAAGCCTGGCCTCCTGCAGGTTGGTGATAGACACATGAAGGATGAGACAAGTGAAAGAGGGCCAGCAATTAGCTGCAGAAGCAGATCTGCCTAGCTGATCCCCAATTCAAAAGTAGGACCACGAGGGAGTTTAGCTGTTACCAGCTGTAGAAGGCAGAATAATGGTCCCCCAAAGATATCCATGTTCTTATCCCTGGAACCTGTGAATATATTATTTTAAATGGCAAAAGGGACATTGCAGATGTGATTTAATCTTAAAATCAATAGGTTATGCTGGATTATTTGTGTGGGCTCAGTGTAATCATAAGGGTCCTTAAAAGAGAGAAGCAGGAATGTCAGAGGAGATGTTCTGACAGAAGCAGAGGTCAAAGAGAAAAGGGAACTTAATGATGCTACACTGCTGGCTGTGAAGACAGAGAGGAAGGTGCTATGAGCCAAAGAATACAAGTGGCCTCTTGAAGATGAAGAATGGAAGGAAGGGAAAAACGTTTTCAGAAGGAAGACAGCTCTGCTGACATTTTCATTTTAGCATTGTAAGACATATTTCAGACTTCTAATCTTCAAAACTGTAAGATAATAAATTTCTGTTAAGTTACTAAATTTGTAATAAAGTTACTAAAGTTGTAATTTGCAATAGCAGAGAACTACTACACTAGCCTAATATATACCCTGCAGACGCATCACTTAAATAGTTGTTTTGATTTGAATTACTAGATTTTGGAGGTGTTTTCTTACCCAAATGCTCACTGGTATACACTTTGAAGTAGAAATTTTGTTTTTTCTGTATAAAAACACAACTATTTAAAAATGTGAGGCAAACATGTGAATCCCTAAACTAACAAAGTGTTTGCAAAATAACCAAAGGGGAAAGAAGAGGAAGAAGGGGTGAACAAGTTGCATTACCAGCATTTATCTTTTTCAAAATGTAAATTATCTCTCATTTAATCTATAAAACAACCATAATGTGGTATATATTAAAAACCTAAAATACATATACAATGTGAGTTCCGTAGCTAAGAATGAGAGGTCTTGAAACAGATGTGAGTCTAATAAATAGGGAAATTTATAACTTTCAAAATTGTAGTACTAAGAAAAATAAATATAATAATATGACATATAAGAACACTAAAAGGTTTTATAATCAGTGCACAGTATTAGATTAAATCCGTGACCTAGGAGGTTTATAAGAAATTCTGTGCTTCAGCAGAATGTATCTTCAGGTGAATGCCTGCCTCAGTGAGAAGTAATGTAGTTGTAATGCAATAGTCAAGACAGAAGAATATCATGCTAGCTTTGCTTTGAATGACTATATAAATAGTATCAGGAATGTTTGAAAAAATTTAATATTATAACAAAACATTCTGATGTCAATAACTTTGCTAAGAACTCTAGGGCTAATGGTGGTTTTTTAACAGTCTTTTCTAAAGCTACTTTCGTCATAAATGTTGCACTGTGTAATCCATCAGAACATCAATTCCAAGCATGAAAAAAGAAATACAAAGACATACAGTAGTGAACCACAAGAGAAAATATCACCTAGTTTTTCTTTTTGAATATATAGCTCCTTTGAATTGAAATAATTACATTTCATAGACTGGCATTCCAAAATATAACCAATAGCATTTTCATCACCTTCCCACAAAATTCTTCCTGTTTAATAAATGTCTTTTCAAAGAAAGCACTTAATTTTATACTGATATTTAATTTATATCTAAAGTAATCCTATCAGATAAAAAAAGAAGTGATATTAATTTTAAAATATATTTTATTTAACACATTATATCTAAAATATTTCAAAAGGTAACCAACAATTTGTTAATGAGTTATTTTGCATTCATTATTTTTATGAGGTCTTTAAGTTTCAATATAAGCTTCACATTTATTTCATATCTAAATTCTGATTAGCCCTTAACATTAGGCCATCATTAAGTGCTCAATAACCACATGCTGCCGGTCGCTATCACATTGGAGAGTGCAGCTCTAAAAAGAAGTAGTGAAAGAGAAAAAGGGTTATTGACATCACCTTGCAAATAAAAAGATAAAAAAAAAAACTGTGGTAATATCCTAATTGCTTTTAGAAACCTATGATTCTTAATTGTATGTGTCAACTTGACTTGGGTTAAGGAATGCCCAGATAGCTGGCGAAACATTATTTTGGCGTGTGTCTGTGAGGATTTTTCTAGAAGAGATTAGCTTTTGAATCAGCAGACTGAGTAAGGAAGATGGCCTCAACAATGTGGGCAGGCACCATTCAATTCTTTGAAGGATAGGATAGAACAAAAAAGCAGAGAAAACGCAAATTGCCCCTTTCACCTTGAGCTCGGATATCCAACTTCTCCTGTTCTTGGACATCTGAGCTCTTGGTCCTAGGGCCTTCAGATTCCAGAACTTACACCACTGGCTTTCCTGATTCTTCAGCTTGCAGAGGGGATGGTATGGGACTTTTCAGCCTCTGTAATCAAGTGAGCCAATTCCTCTAATAAATGTCTTTGTGCTGTGTTCATATATATCTGTATATATGCTATTGGTTCTGCTTTCCTGGAGAATCCTGCCTAATACAGGATTCATCCCAGAGCTACTGAATTAAAAATGTTGGTAGGACCTGAAAATTGTAATTTTACAAGGCTCTTCAGATGCAGTTTTGTAGTTTTCAATATGGGTTTGGGGAACTACTGATTACTGTGTTAAGGTGGCTTTAAATTCTAATAGGTTACAGGGTAGCAAAGCTTGTAGAGTCATAGAGCATTTAGGTTGTAGAGTCATGTAGACTTTGATTTGAAATCAGACTCTGAAGAATTACCAGTCGAATGTCACCAAGTTACTTTACCTTTTCCTGAGCTTTGGTCTTTGATAAGATTAAGACTACATACCACATAAAATTATTAATGGCATAAAATAAAATAATATGTAAAGGAATTTGCAGAGAACCAAGAAATCTGTTTTTGCTCATTATAATGTTTCTGAAATCCCCTCATGACCCCAAATGGCATTTCTAACTCTAGATATTTGCAAAACTGGGTGGCTTAAACAATAGAAATTTATTTTCTTATAGTTCTAGAGCCTAGAAATCCAAGATCAAGTGCCATCTTGGCTGGTTTTTAGAGAGGTGTCTCTTAGTGGCTTGCAGCCTGCTGCCTTCTTGCTATATCCTCATATAACCCCTTTGCTGTGTGTCTGCAGGAAGAGAGAACATGATCTCTGGTGTTGTTCCCTCTCCTTATAGGGAAAACAGCCCTGTTAGATTAAAATTGCACACTTATGACCTTATTTAACCTTAATTACCTTTTTTTATTATCTCCAAATATAGTCACATTGTGAAGTAGAACTTTGAATATAAATTTCTTTGAGAGGAGGGACACAATTCAGCTCATAACTTTGTCATTGGTTAGTATCACCATGTACTTATTGTTCAAACACACACCTGGAGACTTTCAGAACAGTTAGGATGGCTTGAACATTAAAACTTACTCCTTTGCTGCACTATCTCTAGCAAATCAAGAATATAATCAGTATTTGTACTGATGTAACTCTGGCCAATGTCTCTATATTTTGGAGATAGCTTTAGCCCCTACTCATCATTAAAATATTGGACATAAGCTTCCATAATTGCTCAGCAAAGCATGCCAACTGACAAACAAAAGAAACACCAAGTCAAGCTTTTTCTGTTTATGAGATAAGACTGTAAATCAATACATAAGTTTTTCTCACCTAGAGAATATCTTTTCATGGATAGGAGCTGTATTTTAACTGGAAGGTTAGTTATTTCCATTTATAGTCTCTTGGGAGAAACCAAGTTCCTCATCAATTCTAGTCTATGTACTATTGTGACAAGTACAGATAGCTATATCTTGGCTGATTGTATATATAATATAGGACTTCTAATTTGAGAAGCACTGTTCACAATAGCCAACTTGAAATGTTAGAAGTTAATAATCAAACTATAACCCAATGAGAATGTATTTTGAACCTGTCAGTAATATTCCTATTCCAACCTTCCACTACATGTAGTTTATAACATATTTGCATTTCTATTCTTGTTGTTTTTTTTTTTTTTTTTTTTTTTTTTTTGAGACAGAGTCTCACTCTGCCACCCAGGCTGGAATGCAGTGGCGTGATCTCTGCTCATTGCAACCTCCGCCTCCTGGGTTCAAGCGATTCTCCTCCCTCAGCCTCCCGAGTAGTTGGGACTACAGGTGCACACTGCCACACCCAACTAATTTTTGTATTTTTGGTAGAGCAGGGTTTCCACCATGCTGGCCAGGATGGTCTTGATCTCTTGACCTCGTGATCTGCCCACCTCGGCCTCCCAAAGTGCTAGGATTACAGGCATGAGCCACCACTCCCGGCTGCATTTCTATTTAAATTCACTTTTAGATAGCTTTTCTTTCCTACTATAACTTACATTCTCTGTCATCTTATAATGTATCCTTCTTCTGGTAACCCAACAACAGGTAACCCCAACTTTTTCATTTATTAATTGCTAAATGTTAGGGATGACTTCCTTTTCTAGCCTGACCTAAGAATCAGTTCTTTTAAAATAAGCAATAAGGTAAACAGTCCAGATATAAATGTTGCCTAGAAACAAACAAGTGGCATTCTTCTTACCTGTATTCTCCACTAAAATCAGTATTAGATAGTCCCACATGTGTTTCATCTCTCTTAAAAAATTTAAACTTTTTCCCATAAGTTTAAACCTAACTGAAATTTATATTTTTTCATAACTTTTAATAGATTTATTTGTTGCTTATTTTTTATTTTGTGGGTACATAGTAGGTCTATATATTTATGGGGTACATGAAATATTTTGACACAAGCATGCAATGCATAATAAAGCACTGCTCACAATAGCCAGGATTTGGAAGGAACCTAAGTGTCCATCAACAACAAATGAATTGATAAAGAAAATGTGGTATACATTCACATATTTTTAAAGCAAACAACTCTATTGTTTATAATTACATGTTATTTCACAGGAGGGAGGTATTCGTGGCTCTTTTATAACTCTCTGAGACAGATATGATTGAGATGTACATTCATACACAATCATACTTGTCTTAATGTACTTGGTCAGATTTAATATACAGTTCTTTCTTGTTTAGGTGTAACAATAAATAGTAAGAACCAACCTTTAAAGAGATTTTTCACAGAACTGATAAGCTTTACAAATTCATTTTGTTCTGAAATGTGAAATTTATCTGAGAGTATATACATAAGTTGGTCAGACTTATTTGAGTTATATTTAGTATGATCAAAATGTATTATTGCCATAATTATCCTGAGGAAAAGAAATAAATATTTAAATATATATTAAATTTTAAGAACGTTTTGACATTTTAGGATATCCTGGAAAATACTACTGTATTTGTCTGTCCCCAGGATTCTCAGATGTTGGTACCAGAAGATAGCTGTACGGGGTTTCATCCTCGACGTGCTCCAAGCTTGGCTTGCCCCAAGGGCTCATCAAAAAGCAGGAAGATCCTGGACTTCTATTTTTAGTGATAGCTGTTATTTACCCCAAGTCTAATAGTGTATATGGAAACTTCTGCCTCCTCATTGATAAAATACCTAATATTGCTTTTAAAGAAGGTTGAAAAGGAATTTAAATTGTATTTTCCTAGTAATTAATAATACAATTATTGTATTATTCCGGCTATGTCACTAGCTCTATTAATTTTAGATATTTAGTTCTTTTTTTGTAAAGGAAATGAGCCATCTCTCATACACATAAAAAAGTACTTATGGCAGTTTATTCACATATCTTTTATAATTATTTGATAATCACTCAGTAAAGTAGATTGACCTCCCCAGAGTGAGTGGGCATCATTTAATCCGTTGAAGGCCCAAAAAGAACAAAAAGGCAAAGAAGCTAAATTCACCGCTTTTTGCTTCCTGCCTGCCTGCTTGACCTGGGAGACTGGTCTTCTACTCCTGAAATGTCTTTGTCTCTTTCTGTCTGTCTCTCTCTCTCTCTAAACACACACACACACACACACACACACACACTTCCTATTTATTCTGTTTCTCTAGTGAACCC